>NT_167219.1:0-211173 GCF_000001405.40 Homo sapiens | reverse complement strand
GAATTCACCAGCAAAACTCTTTGGATGTGGAGTTTGCTTATTTTTTTATTTCTTTAGTTTTATGTTTTTATGTGCAGGTATTTGACAATTAATTTAATTACTTTAATAAATGTCAATTACTTCATATGTTCCATTTAATCTTGTGAATTTTTTTATAAGTTTTTTTCAAGGAATTCACCCTTTCATCCAAGTAATGAAAATTAGTATAAAATGTTTCACAATATTCCATTATCTTGTTAATGTCTCTTGTGTCTACAACTGTACAGTCTCATTAATCCATGATATTTATAATTTATGTTTTCTTTCTTTCTCACAGAACTAACTTTTGGTCATGATGATTTTCTCCTGTTTCTGTTTTCTGTCTCATTGATTTCTAATTTCTGTTTTATTTCTTTTCTTCTACTTGTTTTGGACTTAATTTTCTCTCTTGTTTTAGATTTTCTTTTTAAGGTAGAAAATTAGTTCACTTGTTTTGAACTTCTCTTTTTTAGAATAAGCATTTATACAAAAAATTTACTCTGGGTCTGCTTAACTTTATCCCATACATTTTGATATAGTATATTTTTATTTGTATTCAGTTCAATGTATTTAAAGGTGTTTCTTATGATTTCTTCCTTGAGCTAAAGGGCATTTTAAGATGTATTTAAATCTTCCAATAGTGTAGACTTTCCTGGGTAGCTTGTTTTTACCCATTTCAACTCATTTTCATTATGGTCAGAAAGCATACTTTCTATGATTACAGTGTTTTGAAACTTCTTGAGAGATATTTTGTGGTCTATAGCCTATTGATAAATGTTTCATGTGTAGCATAATAGAACATATATTCTATTGTCTTAGTCAATATCGATTAGGTCAAGTTGTTGTCAAAATTATTTTATCTTAATTTTCTTTAGTTATTCTGTCAGCAATACAGCATTATGTCTTCATAATTACTTGACATTTTATCATTATGAAATAGCTGTCTGTTGTAATATTGCTTGTTTGGAGGTCTACTTTTTCTTATATTAATATAGCCACATAAGATTGCTTTTGCTTGTTGTTTCCTTGGTATACTTGGAAATTATTTTACTCTCAACTTATCTATACCATAATATTTGGCATGCATCTCTTATAGGTACTTTTATTATCCAGTTGGACAATCTGTGTTTTATTTGGAGTATTTAAATTACATTTGAAATAATTATTGAAAAGTTTGGATTTAAGCCTACTATTTTTGCTTTTCTTTTTTTTTTTTTTTGAGACGGAGTCTGGTCCTGTTACCCAGGCTGGAGTGCAGTGGCGGGATCTCGGCTCACTGCAAGCTCCGCCTCCCGGGTTCATGCCATTTTCCTGCCTCAGCATCTGGAGTAGCTGGTACTACAGGCTCCCGCCGCCATGCCCGGCTAATTTTTGTATTTTTAGTAGAGACGGGGTTTCACCGTGTTAGCCAGGATGGTCTCGATCTCCTAACCTCGTGATCCACCCGCCTCGGCCTCCCAAAGTGCTGGGATTACAGGCTGAGCCACTGCACCCAGCCTATTTTGCTCTTATGTTCTATTTGTTCCATCATTTTTTGCTCCTCTGTTCTTTCTTTCATGCCTTTTTATATTAACTGAACAATATTCAGGGTTCCATTTTAATTCCTTTATTGGCATTTTAGAAGAATATCTTCATATAATGTGGTGGTTCTCTAGGGATTATAATAAATATCCTGGGCTTATCGCAGTCCACTTAGTATTAATAGTCAGCGTTTTCATGTAACATAAAGAAAAGTTGCGGTAAGATTGTTGCGTTTAGTCTTCTGTCAGAGCTATTAATTTAGAATATTTTACATACATTATCAATAGTACACTTAATTTTTTATTCAAACCATCAGTTGTTTGTTATAAAACTAAAAGAAAAAAGCCTTAGTTTTTCATGTTTATGCACATGCCATTCCTAGAGCTTCTCCTTGCTTCCTGTAGGTCAGAATTTCCATCTGTTGTTATCTTTCTTTAGCCTAAAAAATTTCCGTTTGCATTTCTTGTATCTAAGTCTGCTAATGACAATTGTTCGAAGCTTTCTTTTATCTGAATAAATCTTTCTTTTCTCAAGAATTACTTTTTCTAGTTATAGAATTTGGAGTTGACAGTTTTATTTTGAAGATGTAGTTTCATTGCTTTTTAAAGTGTCATTTCTGATGACAGGTCATCTGTCTATTTGTTTCCACGTATGTAAATTATTTTCTCCCTCCCTTTAGCTACTTTCAAGATTTACTCTTTTTTTGCCCAGTGGTTTGACTATGGTATGTCTACATTTGGTTCTCTTTATTTTTATTTTGTTCTTTGAGTTTCTTAAGCCTGTAAATTGATATATGCTGACAATTAGGAAAACTTTTGGTCTTTACTTTTTCAAATAGCTTTTTCTGTCTCATTTTCTTCTCTACTCTTTCTAGGAGTCCAATTATATTAGTGCTAGACTGGCCCTATTTTTATTATTTTTCTTCCTTTGTATTAACTGTATTGGGAAATTGTTCTTGATCTGTTTTTAAGTGCACTGATAGTTTTTTCTGCCATCTTTAATTTACTGGTATGTGCATACAATGACATTTTTATATAAGATATTCAGTCTCTCAGTTCTAAAATTTGTCCTGTTATCTCTTTATCGTTTTTACTTCTCTGTTGAGATTCTCCATATATTCCCTCTTATGACCATCTATTCCTTAAATCCTTGAATATGCTTGCAATAGCTTATTTTAAATTTCTTATCTTCTAATCCCAGCATGTGGGCCATTTCACTGTCTTAATCCATTGTTTCCTTTTTTTGTTATGTGTCATATTTTCCTGGTTTTATGTCTAGGCAGGTTAAATTATATGTTAGATTATGTGTATGATATTTTGTAGAGATAGGTTCTTCTATTTTCGTTTGAAGAGTGACTCTTTTCTAACATTAGTCTTTTTTCTGTAGTCAAACACCAAACTTTCACTCCTGAGCTATATGCAATGGTTGAAATCTCTGCTCTGTACTAGCAATTTAGCTGTTGTTTTCTGCTGGATTCTATGGAGTCTCTTTTTATGAATGTGAAATGTAGCAGCCATCATATATCTGAATGAAGTTGAAGTGCTGATTTTAGATTTTTACTCTGTGACATTCTCCTCTGTGACTTTCAGTTGTGTGAGATTTCCTCCCATGTCATTCAAATTTCCCAGTTCTTCTTTTCTGTCAGCCTGGAACTCTGTGCTCGTATTCCTCAAGCTAGTAAAACTCACCACTTTACTCGTAGACATCTAATTTTGCACAGACTGGGAAGCGTCATGAGGTGTGAAGTTGCACTGATGCAAATTTAAATCATTGCAATTTTCTTTATTCAATGGTCAAATACTTCATCAGTGGTTGAATATTCTACTATTTCTGCCTGTTTTCTGTTTCTCATTGCCATCAAATGTGTATTTAATTTTTTTTACAGTTAATAGTTTTTTTCCCTGCATTTGAGTTAGACCTGAGCTACTACCACATTTTGTAATTCAAACTTTTTGTCTAACAATGTTTTAAAAAACTCTTTATTTGGAGGGAATTCTCAAATTTCTAAATACTCTACAAACATTAGGATCAGGGCTCACATTCCCAGTTTCCCTTGTAGCCAGATGTACATATGGAAAATGGCTTCAGCTAATGAAGCATACCCACATATTTGAAACTCAGAAAAGTGTTAAGAGGAACTGTAGATATCATTTTAGTTGATGCAAGGATGGAAAAAAATAACCAACTTTCACTGGTGAACTTTGTCTTCAATCATTGTTTTCCCGTGGGTAAGTGGCTAATTTTCTGTCCTAGAGGTGGAATTGGTGTGTTGGTAACAATTGATTTGATGATAACCTGTTTTTGTCTTTTTAAAAATTGCTAATCCACCATTGTTTCTGGTCCTGTTTTTTACTTATGCAGTGTATAATCTCTCATGCAAAATTTAGTTCTTTGTTTCTCAGCTTAAACTGGATTTTGATGAGCAGTTTTCAACTTCAAATGAAAGAAATGGCTGTGGTTGATGTTAGACAAAAATAAAAAGATGGAGTTAAAGAAATATGTTTGTCATCTTGTAATATTAAATAAATGAAACTGAAAATTCAACAATTCTGCTTCATAAAAAAATAGAAATTTTCTACTGTTTTTCATTATTTTTGAAGCTATATGATTAAATGAAATTTCTGCCTCATGGAAGGTTTTTAGAACTATGTAATAATACCATACAGACCATTAGGAGAGAAATGAATAAAGACTGAAAGAAGTAAGCACCGTGTGGTAACGTAGATGGCACATAGTTGTGTGCATGGAGCCCTAATATATTTTACCATGCAATTTATACAATAAATGTTAGTTTCCTGTGAACCTGCTAATTAATATGACTTTCTCAAACATTTCCTTAACCTAAACAGTTTAGGTTTCCTGTAGATAGACTGCATGTATTCTCATCTTTAATCTTTCCATAATCTTCCCTAATTACAGATGTCATTGGTTCTTAATAGCAAAAGAACAGCAGTAGCTTATAAAGTTATATTATTTGTTTTTTACTAATATGTGAAGTGATTTTGTCTTTCATTTCACCTCTAAAGCTAATTATGTCTTCTAAGTTAACAAAAATTCCAGATCATACCATCATTAGTTTAAACTTTACAATGAATTCATTCTTTCCGTTTATTACTAGCCTGCATTATAGCAATATTTAGCTAATGAATTCTCAAAATATTTCTTGAAAGGTGAAAGAGTACCTCAAGTAAATGCTGTAATTAATTTATTTATCAGAATTTTAAATTAAGTGTTCTGTTTAATCTCAAAGGGGTACCAATGAAGTTAGGGCATAAGGAGTCCGTGGTTAATAAAATGGCAAGAATTAAAAAAGATTATTACATTTTTTCCTCATACTATGATGGCTATAATTTTTTAAAACAGTAGAAATGCTTAATTTTTAAAGGCTACTAGTGTCTATTTAATTCAAAGATGTGAAGTCTTCAGTTCAACTTGTTGTTTGAAATTTGAACAGCTTTTTCTTGCTGTTGTTCAATACAGTTATCAAACAGTCCAGGCAGGCCTCTGGAGTTACATATATGTATGTGGCTATGTGCGTATATATACATAGAAGTAGAAATAACATATAATCAATTTACATAAGACTTTTGCTTTTGATGAAAATTCTTCTAAAAGTGAATGTAAATTAATAGCATATGGAGCCTACAAAAATTGTCTAATAGGGAAGTAGGAAAATATAATTTGTGAAGAAAAAGTTCGCTAAAACAGACTTTTTATTTTTACATGTAATAACTTTATATTGAAGGGTTTCCAGAAATATAAAATGTTATAGGGCACTTATACTGAGACACACGAAGGAGACAAGGGATAGAGCTAGGATGGAAATGAAAATAAAGGACAAATAGAGATAGATACTTAAGTGGAAATGAAACACTGCATGTTCTCACTCATAGGTGGGAATTGAACAGTGAGAACACATGGACACAGGAAGGGGAACATCACACACCAGGGCCTGTTGTGGGGTGGGGGAGGGGGGAGGGATAGCATTAAGACATATACCTAATGCTAAATGACGAGTTAATGGGTGCAGCACACCAACATGGCACATGTATACATATGTAACTAAACTGTAGGTTGTGCACATATGCCCTAAAACTTAAAGTACAAAAACAAGTCATCAAACAGGTGGTAATTTTAAAACATGGCTTTTCCAGGCAGCAATTTTCTGAATGTATCGTAAAAGAAGATAAATTGTGTGTCTATGTAGATCATGTCAATGAAATAAACAATAAAGGTTACTTATTGGAATATTGAAAGTGGTTGATAATAAATTAATTATTTATATTTATGGTAAAAGCAATAAACTTGATTTTTAGGGGGTTCAATGACTTCCTGAAAATATCCTCTCACAGATTTTCTCAGAGTGTCTAGTTGGCAAAAGCACAGCTCCAAATAGCTATTTCTGTCAATGTCTACAGAACATTTACAGTTCGATTTCCAAAAGTTTCCATTTCTACTGACCTTACAAATTTGTAAAGTGAATGCCCACCAGGACAAAATATTAAGTGATAAAATTAATTGGATCCTACAAGTGAAAATCTAGGCAAGGAAAATCTTCTTCCTTCTTAATGAATGATTTTTATGTCTCTTCATTCTTGTCCTTCTAGGTAGAGCAACACTCTGGAGACCTTCTTTTGAGGCATTTCACCACCAGAGTAAGTGTGATGTGTGAGTAATTAGTCCACTCACAGGGAGCTGGTGAAATTAAATTGGAAGTTATTTCTTAACTGGCATATCTTGGAGTAAAATTAATCTAATAACAGCTTTCATAAGAGAGCATAAGCTTAAAAGACAACATTTTTCATTCAACTTTACCAAACAAAGTGCAAATTTAGGTGTCCAGTTGTGAAGTTTTGTTGTGTGTGGATTGTACAGTGAAGGTACCAGTGGACAACAGTTGCTCATCAAGCAAGTTTATACAAAAGCTTTTGGAAAAGTCCAACTCTAGATAAAATTCGAAAGTATTTCATGCTTGTGTTCAGAGTTTCTTTTTCTCTCTCCAAGGTAACCCACATATCAAAAGACATATGGGTTGTGGGTAGAACTTCCTAAAATTGCTGGTGAGAAGTGTGCCATGCATAAACATTCTTCACTAGCTTGAATTTTCTGTTAGTCTCACAGGAAACAATTACAATCCTGTATGTTTTTCTATCTCCACACACTCCTGAACATAGAAAGACCAAGTAACATCCCTGGTTAAGATGTGTACAGGTTACAAGACATGTCTAAATATATTCACCAAGAGGTTTATTATTTTCACAGTGGCATTCACTAAATCAGTTGTCAGTGTAGCATTACTCAAGGAATAAGCAGGGTCTTTAATTTATCAAAGTTTGGAGTCCACCCCAAGTTGGATCACTGAAGCACATAACTATAGATAAGGTCACTCAAAAGCACAAATCCAGGTAATAAATATTCAGTAGTAGTTTATATGCATTTAGCAATTTGAATGCTGGGAAATGTAGCCCAGAAAATCCATCGACATTGAACTATTAAAGAGGCATTCATGGCACCTGCACTTTGAATCTCTTCAGACTCAGGTTAAACAGGAGACACGGTAGCTCATGTATACTGCAAAAACCCTTCCTCTTTCCCTTTTTATCTATGAACCTGCCCTATTCAATGTTATCTAGATGCCTGAAGGTATGAATACCCTTGATCTTAGTAAAAAATGGTACCACCCGTCAGCAAAATCTCACTGATCAGTGTCTATGTTACCTCACTGAGTTAGCCTTTTGTGTTGTTGTGGCCCAGGATGACAATGTTGACAGAATCCAAACCAGTAGTTGGAAAGTTAATGTTGGATACGTCTTTGACAATTGATGGAATGACCTGAAATCGAATGTGAGGCAGTGGAGACACAAGAATGCTATTCAGGCAGTGAGTGATCTGTGGAGATACTAAATGAAATATCTGGAAGGAATTGTAATCTTGCAACTATGCTTTTATGTGTTTTTTGACGTAAACAGTTTCTATTTATGGTGGAGCTGCAGTGTTCATTTCCCATGAAGTTCCCATAGTGTTAACTAATACAGTCATGTGTCACTTAATGACAGGGGTGTGTCTGAGAAATGCATTGCTGGACAATTTTATTATTGTATGAACATCACAGAGTTTACTTACACAAACCTAGATGCTATAGCTGATTACATGCCTAGGTTAGGTGGTATAGCCTATTCCTCCTAGGCTACAAACCTGTGCAGCATGTTACTGTACTGAATACTGTAGGCAATTGTAACACAACAGTTAAGTATATCTATACTTATATCTATACAGTAAGTGTATCTATACATGTCTAAACATACAAGAGGTACAGTAAAAGTACAGTCTTATGATTTTATTGCACCACTGTCATACATGTGCACTATCCTTGACCAAAATGTTGCTATGTGATGCATGATTTTAACAAAAGAATTAATTAAATATAATATTGAAGTGCCTATTGAGATTTCAATGAAGAAAGGAATATTTGTAAATTCTGATTACCTTAAGTGGGAATTGACTTTCTTCCTGTTTCCATGGCTGTTCTTGTGAAAGAGCATAGCTTTCCAAAGACCTGAAATCTCTGACAAATCTTGCAATTCTCTATTGCCTGTATTATGAAGGTCACCTGGTGTCAAATGAGGCAAAATGGTAGATTATAAAGACCTGTACTTTATTGTCAGTTCCTAAACATAGCAAGCATTGGTATATCTTGAACATTTCTGCCGTTATAAATGAGCCTTGGGTCATGATTTTCTGCCTTTTTATCATAGACAAGATTTAATTTAGGAGATGTCCTTTTAATGTGTAATGTGAATAGTAAGTGTCACTTATGAAGCCTATTTTCTTCCAGCCATTTTAATTGTCAAATCTGTCCAGTCAAGATGCATTGTTAGAGGCTTCACTGACAACACCGTCTGTGTGTGTGTGTGTGTGTGTGTGTGTGTGTGTGTATACATACATATGATTGAGCAGGATTTATTGTAAGTCAAAACAGTCTCAAATTTCTTAGGACAATACAGCTTCCTTAGCCATTCCCTTGGAGCTCTGAGTTGAGGAGCTGGTGATGTGTATTTCTTTTGCATGTTCTCCACATTATCCCTATGCAGGCCTTCCATGGGCTTGGTTTTTGAACCAGTGATGAGGAAGATCATTAGAACTGTTGTTCTCAAAAAGCTTCCTCCATTCTTCTGTATAAGCAATGGCAATTTTCCCAGACCAATATTTCTTCTTTTGAAATGGTAAATTTTGAATATTAACTGGTTAGTATAATCCCATAAAATAACAAAGTTTGAGCCCTATGATCTGTGTTTTAGGCTAAAGTTGTGTTTTATGCTAAATCATCGTTTACTCCTTGTATGATCTTTTTTTTTCTTTGAGACAGAGTCTCACACTGTCACTCAGGCTGGAGTGCAGTGGCACAATTTTGGCTTACAGCAAGCTCCACCTCCCAGGTGCACACCATCCTTCTGCTTCAGTCTCCTGAGTAGCTGGGACTACAGGTGCCCACCACCACACCCGGCTAATTGTTTTTTAAGATTAAGGGCGAAATAAAAGCTGCTCCCCTATGTTACAATCATAAATCAGAATTATTAAAGCAAGCTATTTATTTATTAGAAACACATACTCCAAATTTAACATCTAAGACATGACAGCCTTTCAAGATACATCAATTTACTTTTTAGGGTCTATAGCTATATTTGTATTCATGTTATTGGTGTCCATAATATTTCATTAGATGTTCTGGGTAAATTGATAAATGAAAATAATATATGTGATAAGGAGAACAACCTAGGCCTCCTGGAGGACCCCTTACAACTCAGCTGGTGTTAGCAGAAATGCCTGGGTGTAACAGTGAGAAACAACCTTTCAGAAGTGCTGAGCAATTTTTCAGGCAGAGGAATATGTATACCAATCCAGGCATCAAGATAAGTGGAGGTCAGTTAAAAGATCAGGGTGTGATTACATTTTTTTTTTTAGGTTTCTACTGAGAGGAAATATAACACTCAGTTATTATTTTCTCTGCATACCTCTGGTTATTTTGTCACAACCTTTTATGTAAGCTACTACCAAACACTGGGTTATCCAAGATCTATGGGTCGTATTCAATATTTGCTTTTCCCTCAACTACTAACACATTTGATTCCCTTTGTAACTTTCTCTCCTATTTCTCCTTTCAACCTGTTTTCTCCAACCACACTGAGTTAATAAGCCTCCTATATACTCTCATAACCTGTTTTATCTAAAGAGATTTCCTTTTTCTACTATTATACCCATCTCATTCCCTAATTTATTTATTCTTATTTCTCTCTCTATTTTTTATTCTTTTAGGCATAGCTCATGTCTCATGACTTTCAAAAAGTTTTTCTTCTGATATTCCCAGCTCGAATTAGGTACATCCCAATCAGTTTCCTTAGACTTACAACTCTGCAAATTATTGGCTTGCAATCTGTCTTAGGCTGGGAATTAGCTCCTTGTAGGCAGGGGCTAGAATTTATTTACTCTTATGTCCATAATGCCTGACACAGGAACTATTCTCACATACAAATTGTAGGGCCATAATTCCTGAGAACATATGTACATTGTAGTGACTCATAAAGGCTTGAAATAAATTTTTAAAATGATTAATTGGGAAGTCCATGAACTTGACATCTTGATGTAGAAGAAAAGCAAGGACAGATGAAGAAGTTATACACGATACTTGAAATACCAGAAGAATATAATCAGAGAGCAATAAATTAATCCTAGATTTTTAGATGTGAAGAAGTTCTGAGAAATATTTGAAGACATGGCTCTAGGGATGAGTACATAACAGAGACCATTAGCCAGAGTCAGAGCTTTTCAGAGTGAAGAAATTGCATTGCAGGGGGAAAGACTGTTGTATACTAAATAGAAATTGTCATTAAATAGACTAAGCAAGAGGCTGATGATCTGTGGATGACAGACGCAAAAAGGTGTGGAGATAGAGGTAAATGCCATAATCTTCAAAGAAGATATTTTTGTGCCAGAAAGAAATTTCATTCCATTCCATTCCATTTCATCCCAGTCCATTCCATTCCACTTCTTTCCATTCCATTCATGTCCATTCAATTCCATTCCATTCGTGTACATTCCATTAAAGTCGATTCCTTTCCATTCCATTCCATTCCTTTCCATTCCATTCTAGTCCGTTTCATTCCATCTCATTCTTTTCCATACATTTCGTGTCCGTTCAATTCCATTTCTTATAAGTCCATTCCATTCCATTCTACTCCATTCGAGTCCATTCCATTCCATTGCATTCGAGTCCATTGCATTCCTTTAGACTCCATTCAGCTCCATTCTTTTCGAGTCCATTCCAATCCATTACATTCCATTTGATTTGAGTCCATTCAATTCCATTCGAATTCCATTGGATTACATTCCACTCTATTGCATTTGAGTCCATTCCATTATATTCAAATCCATTCGAATCCATTCCTTTCTATTCCATTGTAGTCAATTCCATTCCATTCCATTCGAATCCATTCCTCTCCATTCCATTTGAGTCCATTCCAATTCATTCCATTCCAGTGGAGTCAATTCCGTTCCATTAGAGTCCATTCGATTCCATTTCATTGGAGTCCATTCCATTCGTTTCCATACTATTCTATTCAAGTCCATTCCATTTTATTCCATTCCATTAACTTCCATTCCATTGAATTCCTTTCGATTACATTACAGGCCATTCCATTCCATTTCATTCCTTTACATTCCATTCCATTCGAGTCCATTCTATTCCATTCGGGTCATTTCCATTCCATTCGAGTCCATTCAATTGCATTTCATTCGAGTCCATTACATTCCCTTTGATTCTCTTCCATTCCATTCCATTCCATTCCATTCTATTCCATTCAAGTCCATTCCATTCAATTCCATTCCATTCAAGTCCATTCCATTCTACTCCATTCTTGTCCATGCCATTCCAATCCATTCCATTTGTGTCCATGCCATTCTAATCCATTCGAGTCCTTTCCATTCCATTCGACTCCATTCCATTCCATTTTATTCGAGTCCATTCCATTCTATTCCATTCAACTCCATTCCATTCCATTCAATTCCATTCCATTCCATTCAATTCCATTCCATTGCATTCGTGTCCATTCCATTCCATTCCATACGAGTCCATTCCACTCCATTCGATTTCATTCGAGTCCATTTCATCCCATTTCATTAGTGTCAAATTCCGTTAAATTCCAATCCAGTACATCCCACTCTATTCAATTCGACTCCATTGCATTCCATTCCATTTCAGTCTATTCCATTCCATTCCATTCTATTCCAATCCTTTCTAATCAATTCTATTCCATTCCTTTCCATTACATTCCATGCCATTCCTTTCCATTCCATTCGCGACCATTCCATTCCCTTCCATTCGAGTTCATTCGATTCCATTCGAGTTTCTTCCATTCCATTGCATGCCATTCCAGTCCATTCCACTGCATTCCATTTCATTCGAGTCGATTCCATTCCATTCCATTCTATTTTAGCCCATTCCGTTCCATCTCATTCATATCCATTCTATTCCATTCGAGTCCATTCCATTCCATTCGAGTTCATTCCATTCCGTTACTTTCCATTCCATTTGAGTCCATTCAATTCCATTCCATTCCATTTGAGCCCAGTCCATTCCATTCCGTTTGAGTCCTCTCCATTCCTTTTGAGTCCATTACATTCCATTGCATTCGCGTCAATTCCATTCTAAACTATTCCATTCCAGTCCATTCTAGTCCATACCATTCCATTCCATTCCATTCGTGTCCATTGCGTTCCATTCAATTCGACTCCATCGCATTCCATTCCACTTCATTTGGGTGAATTCCATTCCGTTCCATTCCATTCGAGTCCATTACTTTCCATAACATTCCATTCCATTCGGGTTCAATGCATGCCATTCCATTCGAGTCCAGTCCATTCCATTCCATTCCATTCGAGTCCATTCCAATCCATTACATTCTATTCGAGTCCATCCCATTATATTCAATCCTTTCTATTTCGTTTCATTCGAGTCCGTTCCATACCACTCCATTCTATTCCATTCATGTCCATTCCTTTCCATTCCACTCCATTACATTCCTTTCCATTCCATTCCAGTCCATTCCATTCCATTCCATTCAAGTCCATTCCATTCCACTTCATTCCATTCCATTCATGTCTATTCAATTCCATTCCATTCGAGTCCATTCCATTCCATTCCATTCGAGTCCATTCCATTCCATTCCACTTGAGTCCATTCCATTCCATTCCATTCGAGTCCATTCCATTCCATTCCATTCCATTCGAGTCCATTCCTTTGCATTGGAGTCCTTTCCATTCCATTTCATTCGAGTCCATTCTATTCCATTCCATTTCTTCGAGTCCCTTTCATTCCATTCCATTCCATTTGGGTCCATTCCTTACTATTACATTCCGTTCGACTCGAGTCCATTCAATTCCATTCCATTCCATTCGAATCCATTCCACTGCATTCCATTCGAGTCCATTCCATTCCATTCAATTAAATTCCATTCGATTCCTTTCCATTCCATTCCATTTGATTCTATTCCATTCCAATCTTGTCCATTCCATTCCATTTGATTCTATTCCATTCCACTCTTGTCCATTCCATTCCATTTGAGTCCATTCCATTCCATTTCATTTGAGTTCATTCCATTCCATTCCATTCTATTCCATTCTAGCCCATTCCATTCCTTTCAATTCCTTTCCATTCCATTCCATTCCAGTCCATTCCATTCCACTCCATTCCATTCCATTACATTACATTCCATTCGTGTCCATTCCATTCCATACGAGCCCTTTCCTTTCCATTATATTCCATTCGAATATATTTCATTTCATTCTTCTTTAGTCCATTCCATTCCATTGGAGTCCATTCCAATTCATTACATTCCATTCGATTCCATCCCATTGTATTCAATCCTTTCCATTCCGTTTCATTCGAGTCCATTCCATACCACTCCATTCTTTTCCATTCATGTCTATTCCTTTCCATTCCTCTCCATTCCATTCCATTCCAGTTCAGTCCATTCCATTCCATTCCAGTCCATTCGATTCCAATTCTTTCCATTCCATTCATGACCATTCCATTCCATTCCATTCGAGTACTTTCCATTCTATTCCATTCAAGTCCATTCCATTCCATTCCACTTGAGTCCATTGCATTCCATTCCATTCGAGTATATTCCATTCTAAAACATTACATTCGAGTCCATTCCTTACCATTCGAGTCCTTTACATTCCATTTCTTTTGAGTCCATTCCATTCCATTCCATTTCTTTGAGTCCCTTTCATTCCATTCCATTCCATTGCATTCCATTCGAGTCCATTCCTTACTATTACATTCCGTTCGACTCGAGTCCATTCAATTCCAATCCATTCCATTCGAATCCATTCCACTGCATTCCATTCAAGTTCATTCCATTCCATTCCATTCCATTCCATGCCATTAAATTCCATTTGATTCCTTTCAATTCTGGTCTATTCGATTCCATTCCATTCCACTCGTGTCCATTCCATTCCATTCGAGTCCATTGCATTGCATTTCATTCGAGTGCATTCCATTCCATTCCATTCTCTTCCATTCTAGCCCATTCCATTCCATTCCATTCCTTTCCGTTCCATTCCATTCCATTCCATTCCATTCCTCTCCATTCCATTCCATTCCATTCGTGTCCATTCTATTCCATACAAGCCCTTTCCCTTCCATTATATTCCATTCGAATATATTTCATTTCATTCCTCTTTAGTCCATTCTATTCCATTCTGTTCGAGTCCATACCAATCCATTACATCCCATTCGAGTCCATTCCATTGCATTCAAGTCCTTTCCATTCCATTTCATTCGAGTCCATTCCATTCCACTCCATTCTATTCACTTCATGTCCATTCCTTTCCATTCCACTCCATTCCATTCCATTCCAGTTCATTCCATTCAATTCGTGTCCATTCAATTCCATTCCATTCGAGTACATTCCATTCCATTCCATTCTATTCCATTCGAGTCCATTCCATTTCATTCCACTTGAGTCCATTCCGTTCCATTCCTTTTGAGTCCTTTCCATTCCATTCCATTCCATTCGAATCCATTCTGTTGCATTCGATTCCTTTCCATTCCACTTCATTGGAATCCATTCCATTCCATTGCCTTCTATTCCATTCAATTCCATTCCTTTCCATTCCACTCCGTTCCATTCCCTTCCATTCCACTCCGTTCCATTCCCTTCCATTCCAGTCCATTCCATTCCATCCCATTCTATTCCATACGTTTCGTGTCCATTCCATTCCATTCCTTTAGAGTCTATTCCATTCCATTCTATTCCAATTGAGTCAATTCCATTCCATTCCATTTGGGTCCATTCCATTGCTTTCCATTCACTTCCATTTGAAACCATTCCTTTCCATTCTATTCCATTCCATTCTATTCTAGTCCATATCATTCCACTCCATTCCATTCCATTCCATTCTTTTCGAGTCCATTCAATTCGGTTGATTTCCATTGGAGTCCATTACATTCCATTACATTCTTTTCGTTTCCATTCTATTCCATTCCTGCCCATTCCACTGCATTCCATTGCATTCGATCTCATTTCATTCCATTACGTTCCTTTCCATTCGATTCCATTCCTTTCCATTCCATTTGATTCCATTCCATTCCTTTCCATTTCATTGCATTCCATTCCGTTCCATTCCATTCCATTGCATTCCATTGCATTCCATTACATTTCATTCCTGTCCTTTCAATTCCATTCCACTCCTTTCGCGTCCATTCCACTCAATTCCATTCTTGTCCATTCCATTCCACGTCGTTCCATTGGACTCCATTCCATTCTTTTCCATTCTGTTCCATTCCACTGTATTCCATTCGAGTCCATTGCATTCTATTTCATTCCCTTCGAGTCCATTCCATTCTATTCCATTGGAGTGAATTCCATTCCATTCCATTCCATTCACTTTCATTCCATTCCATTCAATTCCTTTTCACTCGAGTGGATTCCTTTCAATTCCATTCCATTCGAGTCCCTTCCATTCCATTCCTGTCCATTCCATTCCTTTCCATTTGATTCCATTCCATTCCTTTCCTATCCATAACTTTTGGGTCCATTCAATTCCATTCCATTCCATTTGAGTCCTTTAAATTCCTTTCCATTCCTCTCAATTCCATTACACTCCATTCCATATGAGTCCATTCAATTCCACTCCATTAGATTCGAGTCCATTCCATTCTATTCCATTTGAATCCGTTCCATTCCTTTCCATTCCTTTTGGGACCTTACCATTCCATTCCATTCCACTGGAGTCCATTTCTTTCCATTCGAGTCCATTTCATTTCATTCAAGTCCATTCCATTCCATTGAATTCAAGTCCATTCCATTCCAATATATTCCATTTGAGTCCATTCCATTCCATTAGAGTCCATTCCATTCCACTCCATTCCATTCGAATCCATTGCATTCTCTTCCACTCGTGACCATTCCATTCCACTCGAATCAATTTCATTCCATTCGAGCCAATTCCATTCTATTATATTCGAGGGCATTCTATTCCATTCCATTCCATTTGAGTCCATTCCATTCTATTACATTCGAGACCATCCAATCCGAACCCATTCCGTTTGAGTCTATTCCATGTCCTTTGATTTGAAATCATTCCTTTCCATTCCATTCCATTCGAGTCCATTCGAGTCCATTTATTTCCATTTCATTCACGTCCATTCCATTACACTTAATTCCATTCCGTTCCATTCCATTCAATTCCATTCGTGTCAATTCCATTTCATTCCATTTGGGTCCATTCAACTGCATTGCATGCCATTCCTTTTGAGACCATGCCATTCCATTCCATTACATTCCATTCGAGTCCATTCAATCCCATTCCATTACATTCGATTCCATTCCATTCCATTTCATTCTACTCAAGTCGTTTCCATTCCATCCCATTCAATTTGAGTACATTTCATTCCATTGAAGTCCTTTAAATTCCATTCCATTTGATTCCATTCCATTCTATTAAATTACATTCCTTTCCATTCCATTCCATTCTATTACATTCAATTCCATTCCATTCCATTCCTTCAGAGTCCATTCCACTAAATTTCCATCTATTGCATTCGAGTCTGTTCCATTCAATTCCTTTCAATTCGTGGCCTTTCCATTCCATTGGAGTCCATCCCATTCCATTCCATTCTGTTTAAATTCATCCCAGTCCATCCCTTTCTATTCCATTCAAGTCCATTCCAATCCAAAGCTTACCATCCCATAGCATTCCATTCCATTCCTGTCCTTTCCATTCCCTTCCATTCCAGTCCATTCCATTCCATCCCATTCCATTACATACGTTTCGTGTCCATTCCATTCCATTCCTTTAGAGTCTATTCCATTCCATTCTATTCCAATTGAGTCAATTCCTTTCCATTCCATTGGAGTCCATTCCACTCCATTGCATTCGAGTCCATTCCTTTCCATTCCATTCTATTCGAGTCCATTCCTTTCTATTCCATTCGAGTAAATTCCATTCCATTCCATTCGAGTACATTCCAATCCATTCCATTCCACTCCACTAATTTCCTTTCCATTCCTTTGCAATCCATTCCATTCCACTCAAGTCGTTTGAATTCCATTCCATTCTATTCCATTCGGGTCCATTCCATTCCATTGGAGTTCATTCCATTGAATTCCATTCGAGTCAATTCCACTCTATTCCACTCGAGTGCATTCCATTCCATTCCATTCTATTCGAGTCCATTCCACTCCATTCGACTCCATTCAATTCCATTCCAGTCGATTAAAATCCATTCCATTCCTTTTCTATTCCATTCCATTCTTTTCCATTCTATTCCAATCCATTCCATTCTATTCCATTCCATTCCATTCCTCTCCATTCCATTCCAATACATTCTATTCCATTCCATTCCGTTCCATTCCATTCATGTCCATTCCATTCCACTCCATTCGAGTCCATTCCATTCCATTCCATTCGAGTCTATTCCATTCCATTGCATGCCATTCGAGTTCTTTCCCATGCATTCCATTTCATTCGAGTCCAATCCATTCCATTCCACCTGAGTCCATTCCTTTCCATTACATTCAAGTCCATATCATTCCATTTGAATCCATTCCATTGCATTTGAGTCCTTTCCATTCAATTTCCTTTGTGTGCATTCCTTTCCTTTCCATTCTATTCCATTTAAGTCCAATCCGTTCCATTCCACTCCATTCCATTCCCTTCCATTCCAGTCCCTTCCATTCTATCGCATTCCATTCCGTAACTTTCGTGTCCATTTCATTCCATTCCATTCGATTCCATTCCATTTTATTCCTTTCCATTCCATTCCATTCCATTCAAGCCCATTCCATTCCATTCCATTCGAGTCCATTCCATTCCTTTACATTCCGTTTGAATCGAATCCATTGAATTCCATTCCACTCCATTCCATTTGATTCCATTCTATTCCATTCCACTCCACTAGCGTATATTCCATTCCATTCGAGTCCTTTCTATTCTATATCATTCGAGTCCATTCCATTCTTTTCCATTCTATTCCATTCAAGTCCATTCCATTCCATTCTATTTCATTCCATTCCATTCCATTCCATTCCATTCCATTCCATTCCATTTTTGTCCATTTCACTCCATTTCATTCGATTCCATTCCATTCAATTCCATTGCATTCGAGTCCATTCCATTCCACTTGATTCCAATCCATTCCATTCCTTTTGAGTCCATTCCATTCCATTCCATTGCATTCCATTCCATTTGACTCCATTCCATTCCATTTAATTCGAGTCCATTCCATTCCATTCTATTGCATTCAACTCCATTCCATTCAGTTCCATTCCGTTCCATTCCATTCCATTCAAGTCCATTCCATTCCGTTCGCTTCCATTCGAGTCCATTCCATTCCATTTCTTTAGACTCAATTCTGTTAGTTTCCAATCCAGTAAATTCCATTCTATTCCATTCGAGTCCATTACATTCCATTCCATTTGAGTCCACTCCATTCCATTCCATTCTATTCCAATCTATTCTTTTCCGTTTTGTTCCCTTCCCTTCCATTCCATTCCATACAGGTCCATTCCATCCCATTCTATTCGAGTCCATTCCATTCCATTCCATTCCATTCGAGTTTATTTCATTCCATTGCATTCCATTCCAGTCCATTCCTCTGCATTCCATTTCATTCAAGTCCATTCCTTTCCATTCCACTCTAGTCGATTCTATTCCATTCCATTCGTTTCGTGTCCATTCCATTTCATTTGAGTCCGTTCCCTTCCATTCCATTCCATTCCATTCCATACAAGTCCATTTCATTCCATTCCAGTCCACTCCATTCCTTTCAGGTACATTCTATTCAACTGCATTACATTCGATTCCATTCCATTCCATTTTATGCCATTCCATTCCATTCCATTCCATCGACTCCATTCCATGCCATTCCATTCGAGTCCATTTCATTCAGTTCCATTCCATTCCCTTCGAGTTCATTCCATTCCATTCCATTCAAATCCATTCGGCTACACTCTGTGTCCCTTCCATTCCATTCGAGTCCATTCCATTACATTCGAGTTCTTTCCATTCCATTCCATTACCTTCCTTTCGAATCCATTCGGCTCCACTCCATTCGAGTCCCTTCCATTCTATTCGAGTCCATTCCATTCCATTCCATTCCATTCCATTCTCATCCATTCATTTTGAGTCCATTCAATTCCATTCCATTCCATTGGAGTCCATTCAATTCCATTCCTTTCCGTTCGATTCCATTACACGCCATTCCATTCGAATCCATTCCATTCCACTCCATTAGATTCGATTCCATTCCAAGCTATTCCATTTGTGTCTGTTCCGTTCCATTCCATTCCTTTTGAGACCATACCATTCCATTCCATTCCACTGGAGTCCATTCCATTCTGTTCGAGTCCATTCCATTGCATTGTGTTCGATTCCATTCCATTCCACTCTATTCCATTTGAGTCCATTGCATTCCATTCCATTTGAGTCCATTCCATTCTATTCCTTTCATGTCCATTCTATTCCACTCGAATCAATTCCATTCCTTTCGAGCCATTTCCATTCCATTATATTCTAGTCTATTCTATTCCATTCCATTCCATTTGAGTTCATTCCATTCCATTACATTCGAGACCATCCAATCCCAACCCATTCCATTCGAGTCCATTCCATGTCATTTGATTCGAAATCATTCCATTCCATTCCATTCCATTCCTTTCCATTCCATTCGAGTCCATTTCATTCGTGTCCATTCCGTTACATTTAATTCCATTCTGGTCCATTCCATTCAATTCCATTCGAGTCAATTCCATTCCATTCCATTTGATTCCATTCAATTGCATTCCATTACATGCGACTCCATTCCATTCCATTTCATTCCACTCGAGTTGTTTCCTTTCCATTCCATTCCATTCGAGTACATTCCATTGCAATCGAGTCCTTTAAATTCCATTGCATTCGATTCCATTCCATTCCATTCCATTCCATTACAGAACATTCCTTTCCATTCGATTCCATTCTATTACATTCGAATCCATTCCATTCCATTCCATTAGATTCCATTCCACTAAACTCCAATCTTTTCCATTCGAGTCCATTCCATTCCATTCCATTCCATTCGTGGCCTTTCCATTCCATTGGATTCCATTCCATTGTTTTTAAATTCATTCCATTCCATTCCATCCCTTTCTATTCCATTCAAGTCCATTCCAATCCATACCATAGCATCCCATTGCATTCCATTCCATTTCATTCCATCCCATTCCATTCCATTCCATTCCATCCCATTCGATTCCGTTGCATTCCATTCGATTCCAGTCCATTTAAGTCCTTTCCATTCCATTCCAGTCCACTTCACTCCATTGCTTTCGATCCCATTCCATTCCATTCCATTCTATTCGAGTCCATTCCTTTCAATTCTATTCGAGTCAATTCCATTCCATTGCATTCGAGAACATTGCATTCCATTCCATTTCATTCCATTCCATTCCACTCAAGTCATTTGTTTTCCTTTCCATTGCTTTCCATTCCATTCCACTCGAGTCATTTCCTTTCCTTTCTATTCATGTCCATTCCACTCCATTGGTGTTTATTCCTTTGAATTCCATTCGAGACTATTCCACTATATTCCACTCGAATCTATTCCATTCCATTCCATTCCATTCGAGTCCATTCCACCCCATTCGAGTCCATTCCATTCCATTCCATTCGATTAAAATCCATTCCATTCTTTTCTATTCCATTCCATTCTATTCCATTCCATTCTATTATATTCCATTCCTCTCCATTCCATTCCATTCCATTCGCGTCCATTCCTTTCCACTCCATTCGAGTCCATTGCATTCCATTCCATTCGAGTCTATTCCATTCCATTGCATGCCATTCGAGTTCCTTCCCCTGCATTCCATTTCTTTCGAGTCCACTCCATTCCATTCCTCTTGAGTCCATTCCATTCGAGTCCATTCAATTGCATTACATTACATTCGATTCCATTCTATTGCATTTGAGTCCTTTCCATTCCATTTCATTCGAGTCCATTCCTTTCCATTCCATTCTATTCCCTTCAAGTCCATTCCGTTGCATTCCACTCCACTCCATTCCCTTCCATTCCAGTCCATTCCATTCCATCCCGTTCCATTCCATACCTTTTGTGTCCATTCCATTCCATTCCATTCGAGTCCATTCCATTCCATTCTATTCCATTTGAATCCATTCCATTCTATTCCATTAGAGTCTGTACCATTATATTCCAATCCAGTAAATTCTGCTCTATTCCATTCGAGTTCATTCAATTGCATTCCATTCCATTCCATTCGAGTACATTCCATTGCATTCGAGTCCATTGCATTCCATTCAATTCCATTCCAATCCATTCCAATCTCTTCCATTCCATTTTATTCCTGTCCGTTCCATTCCATTCCATTCCATTCGAGTCCATTCCATTCCATTCCATTCCGTTCGCGTACATTCCATACCATTACATTCCGTTTGACTAGAATCCATTCAATTCCATTCCATTTGATTCGAATCCATTCCACTCCATTCCATTCGAGCCTATTCTATTCCATTCCATTCCACTAGAGTCCATTCCTTTCCATTCGAATCCTTTCTATTCCATATCACTCCAGTCTATTGCATTCCGTTACAGTCCATTCCATTCCACTTTTCCATTCCATTCCATTCCATTCCATTCCATTCCTGTTCATTCCATTCCATTCCTTTCGAGTCCATTCCATTCCATTCTATTGCGTTCAAGTCCATTCCATTCCACTTGAGTCCATTCCATTCCATTCCATTCCATTCAAGTCCGTTTCTTTCCATTCGACTCCATTCCATTCCATTTCATTGGAATCCATTCCATTCATCTCCATTCCATTCCATTCCATTCAATTCCTTTCCAGAGAAGGTTTAGGAGCCTGACCAAAGTTTCACGAAGTAAAGAATCTTTCTCAATTTTCATAATTTAAAACCAGTTAAGCAAATGTTACCAAATATCTGAAGAAATAATCCGTCATGAGGAATAGTCAATAGGAGAAAAATGGGTTAGTTGGATTTCAGCCACTTGAATGATTATATAGCACGCAAAAGAATATTAGTTAAAGTGCTTAGACAAATAAAAGAGGAAACAGTAAGAACAAAAAATAAAAGAGCATAAAAAATGACATACAGTATCAAGACAAGACAACCTACAGAAAGTAAGAAAATATTTGCAAATCGTATATCTGGTAAGGGACTAATAGCTTTTTTTTTGAGATGGAGATCCCATTTTGTTGTCCAACGCTGGAGTGCAGTGACATGATCTCGGCTCACTGCAACCTCTCCCTCCCAAATTCAAGCAATTCTTCCTGCCTCACCCTCCCAAGTTCCTGGGATCACAAGCATGTTCCACCACACCCAGCCAATTTTGTATTTTTAGTAGAGATGGAGTTTCACCAGGTTGTCCAGGCTGGTCTCGAACTTCTGTCCTCTGGTGATTCACCCACCTCGGCCTCCCAAAATGCTGAGATTACAGGTATGAGCCACCACGCTTGGCTGTATCATTTTGTTTTTAAGAGACAGGGTATTGCTTAATATTGAGTATATAAAGAACACTTACACCTCAAAAACTTGACAAAAACAAAGAGGCCAGGCACAGTGGCTCATGCCTGTAATCCCAGCACTTTGGGAGACTGAGATGGGAAGATCACTTGAGGCGAGGAGTTCAAGGCCAGCTTGGTCAACATAGTGAGATCCCCATCTCTAAAAAAGAGAAAATATAAAATAAAAAAAATGGTCAGGCGACATGGCTCATGCCTGTAATCTTAGAACTTTGGAAGGTCAAGTCGGGAGGATCACTGGAGGCCAGGAGTTTGGGACCAGCCTGGGCAACATAGGAAGACCTGCCCCCATCTCTAAAAAAATGTACAAAATTATCCAGGCATGCTGATACGCACCTGTATTCCAAGCTACTTGGGAAGCTGAGGCAGGAGAATCCCTTGAACAGAGGAGGCATTGGTTGCAGTGGGCTGAGATTGGGCCACTGCACTCCAGCCCAGGGAACAGAGCTGGAGTTCCTAGAGACTCTGTATCAAAAAATAAAAAACAAAAAAAGAGAAAAACATTTGTTGTTACAATCAGGTCACAAGCCTGCAGTCAGAGTCATCCTATTAAAGTCAGCTCATGTCTCCTCTGCTCAATAGTCTCCAATACTTCCCATCTCATCTCACTCTGAGGAAAAACCAAAATCCTTAAGAGGACCAACAATCACTTTATGATCTGGACCCATCGCCTCTCCGCCCTCAGTTGCAACAGCTCCTCCTTCAGACTTCTCTAGCCTGATGGCTCCCCTGCTATTCCTCAAACACCATGGCAGATGCCTGCCTCTGGGACTTGGTGTTCACCCTTCTGTATGTCTGAAATGTTCCTCCCTCAGATATCCAAATGGCTATCTTCCTCGCTGCATAAAGGTTGTTAGCAAATGGCAGCTGAGTAAAGGCTTCCCTGGCCACCCTATCTAAACTTTTACCACTCTCCCACACTCCCAAAAACCACTTCCTAACCTCTTTAACTGCTTCATTTTTTCTCCTTAAGACCACCACCTAACATAATGTATATATTTTCCCTCTTTGTTTTCTGTTGGTGCCCTTCACTGGAATGTGAGCTCTATGAAGCAGGGGCTTAGTGTCTCCACTGCAGTCTATCTTGCATAGTTACATCCTTCATTATTTCACTCTTAGCTAAGTTCAAGCTAGTTTACTACTGCTGCATAGAGTTTAAACACTTCTATCAGGAATTCACTATGTTTCTGGATTTATGTGACTTTTTTGTTCCCTTCTGTTTATGATATATGATAGACTCTTGCTATTCTTAGAATTCTTTAAGACTCACAAGCCCACAAACTGGAATATTTGTAGAGGCCCCTGGTCGTCCCTTGAATCATACATCCAAACCCCAAATTAACTCCTTTCAACATTTATTAAAGCTGCTTTCTTCTTGATCAATTCAGAAGAGTTATTATGTTGAAAAGTACAAAGCTGCACTGAGATTCAGACAATGGCATGTATCACGCTTGCTCTAGCAGATCATTGATCTTTGTGGGACCGCTTGTAAACCACACATGCTGAGGAGGCAACATCAAGTATGAGGTGACTCTTGAACCGTTTGTACTAGTGATTATCTTTTCCCCATGTCTTTCTGTCTCTTTACTTACACTGTTATTGGAGCTATACCGTCTTCACTGGTAATTTCCACTCTTAAATCCAAATATAGTGGGTGACTAATTAATAATTATGGGCTGAGTAAATAATAAATGAGTCATTTTCTATCCTTTAGGGATCATATGCTTCTAAGAGCAACATCTGATTGTATTTTATCATCGATATCATTCAAAATCTAATACGTCTTCTGTGTCCTCAAGTTTTCTCATCCTTAATGCCTCCATTTTTGCGTTTTCCATTTACTTATTCAACCAATATTTGAGGGCCTACTATGTGTGGTAGGGACACAGTTTGAACAGGCAGGTCTGGTTAGGTGAGGCTGAGGGTGGGGTGTGGAAATAAAAATTATTTGTCTATGATATGTAGACTCAACCTTACAGACAATTACCTAAAAGAAGGCAAGGGTGGCTGGTACCTAATTGGAGAGAAAGACTTTGGTACAAGATGAGTTCAAAGATGAGATAGGGGACAGATCGCAAAATACCTGATCTGCTATGGTAAAAAAGTTGTGATTACAGTGCCATGGGTCTAACTTACCTAGTCATTTCTTGATCCAAATTTCATTTTTTACTCTGTTTTTCCTCATAATTCTCCTCTTAAATTTCGGGTTACTCTCTTTTCTTTATTTTACATTGTATGTGTTTGTGTGTGTATTTTTTTTTTAATTTTAGAAATAGGGACAGAGTCTATGTTGCCCAGGCTGTATTCAACTCCTGGGCTCAAGTGATCCTGCTGCCTTAGCTTTCCGAGTAGCTGGAACTACAGGTACACACCACCATGCCTGCCTTATATTCTTTAATATTACCTATAATCTTTCTAACACCCACCTTCAATTTTCTTAAAGTCATTAGTGAGATTAGGTAACAATTTATGGCAAAAGGCACAACAAAAGTGATTACGAGCAGGTGCACCAAGCATGGCAATAAGAGAAACCAATACATCCACTTCCACGCAAAACATTCTAAGAAATATTAAAAATGAAATAACATTTCTGGACTTGAACATTTTGCATTATTTTCCTTTTTTCCCTAAGCCCTCTCAACAGTAAATTAGTCTGCAAAAATAAATCTGTCTCATGATCTGACTCATAGTTTGTAAACCCTATACTATAAAATATACATATTTATATGTAAAATATACACACCTTGCCTTTTAAAAATTATTATGTTTATATTACTCCAGAATTTGTTTCAACATTTTCTGTTTGAGCAATGCATTTTTTTTTAAAGACAAGGTCTTACTCCATCGCCCAGGCTGGAATGCAGTGGCATGATCATAGCTCACTGCAGCCTCCAACTTCTGGGCTCAATTGATCATCCTGACTCAGTCTCTCCAGTAGTGGGACTATACGAACACACCACCATGCCTGGCTAATTTTTATTTTTTTATTTTTGTAGAGACAGTGTCTCCCTATGTTGCCCAGGCTGGCAGTGAATTTTTTCGAGAAGAAATTGTGCTCATTTTAACCAAAACTTTATAAATATTTTAATATTTATTTAATGTCTCTTCATATTCTATGGAACAATCAATCATTTATAATTCATATATTTGCATGAAGGGTGAAATAGTAAATTAGTAGTTTAAAAAACACTTAAGGATAATCTTCTACAATACAAATCTTTAAAAGTTATAATTTTGTTTTTATATCTAAAACTGAAATTTCCCTAGTACTGCAGGTTTCTGAATCTCCTAGAAGATTCAAATACTATCTTAATAAAGCAAACGCTGAACTTTATTGTGATAGCATAATGCTGAAAAAGTAAAAGTTATAAATTCTGTTCTGGCCAGGCGTGGTGATTCATGCCTGTAAACCCAGAACTTTGGGAGGCCAAGGCGGGTGGATCACTTGAGGTCAGGAGTTCAAGATCTGCCTAGCCAACATAGTGAAACCCCGTCTCTACTAAAAATACAAAAATTAGCTGGGCATGGTGGCGGATGCCTGTAATCTCAGCTACTCAGGAGGTTGAGGTGGGAGAATCGCTTGAATCTGGGAGGCGGAGGTTGCAGTGAGCTGAAGTGCGCCACTGCACTCCAACCTGGGCATCAGAGTAAGACTCCATTTCCAAAAAGATAATTAATTCTGTCCTATTGTGGTAGAAGCTCAGCAAAAGGAAACATCCGTCTATATTGAAATCTTTGGAACCAAGCTATAACACTATTGCAAACACTCACTGCATATATTCAACACATTTATTTAGATTTTCACTTATTTCCTCTTGCGGGTTTATGGTAGACTTCTTAAAGGCAAGATTAATTTCTGAGCCAGCTTTGCAACTCCTGCAAAATAAGATACAGGTCTGTACACAAACTATGTGATCAGTAAATATCTGCTGAACTCATAAACAATATACTTATAATCTATTATTACAATGTTTAGAAAAAAAGAAAGTTAATGAGGTATTATGAGTGAATAATAACGTCTTCAGAATAAAGGACTATTATTTTTTGGAGAGTGGGATCATCGGTCCAATACTCCACGTCAACTCTGCTGCTGGTTTGTGGCAAGGTAAAGAGCTTGCACCAGAATGTAAATCAACTAACTGCTTCCTACACTGAAGAGGTCTTGCTATTTTTAAAAAGTCAGCTGAACAGTAATCAGTATGTTTAGTGACATCGCCTATTTACATTCTGGCACAAGCTCTGGATCTCACTGCAAACCAGTAAGTCTGCACTGGCCCTGATCTGCAGGCCACACTTTTCAGAATCCTGGTTCCATGCTACTACTATATATGGACTAACAACAACAATGATGATAATTTTACCAATTAGCATTTATAGAATGATTATTGCACACCAGATGCTATGTTCAGCACTTAAGCACTTTATATGGATTATTTCATTTAAACTCTTAAGGACCTCATGAGGGTTTACTTTTTTATTTCCATTTTTCAAATGAGGAAATGTAAACCTTCAGAGGTTTAATTTAAACAGCTTCTAGAAGATCATCTGTGGTAGGGCAGGTGCTTAAAGTCAGGCAGTATGATCTCTGCTTAACCCCAGTTAAGTGTATAGTGTATATGCTTAACCATATATCCATACTGCTTCCTGACTATGTTATATATTGCTTCCAGACTACATTTTAAAAAATAGGCTCACGTTGAATCACTGGGGGTTGAAGAAATACTTGACACTAATGGAGATGTCAGGAAGAGAGGTCTGGAAGAAATACCATAAAACTAAAAAACATGGTAAAGATAGATTTGTAAATCTTTTTATAGATTTGAAAAACATATTTCTAATACAAAGTTACAGTCAAATATTTAATACACTTTATCTCTCAAGCACGGTATGCTTTAATTGAAACAATGGACCTAATCATTACTAGGACTTTTAGAAGGTCACTTCTGTGTTTGCCTTTGTTTTAATAGCCTCAAATCTCCCAAAAATATATCCTATTTGGTTTCCAGTATCAATTTAAAGTCTTTCTGGGAAAAGATAAGGTCAAAATTCAAAATTTATTTTAAAATCCTTATTTCTAGACTTGTAACGAGTTGATTGCTTTGATTTTAAGTAAGCAAATCTAGTTAATTAGCTTTTTAAAAATAAAAAAGGTCCATTTTTAACTCAATGTTGGTTCATATCAGATACAACCAGCCTTGTATTGACAATTGGTTGAATATAAAATATTATATTAATAACAACAGATACTACAGTTGATCTTAGCCAAAAGGCCGAGAAGTGATGAATATACAGTATTGAGTATTGTATTGCATACTGGTTGAATAACCAACCCTGCACAATCATATTTTTTAAAAAGAATCCTTACATTCTAATGGTACTTTAAAAAATTTTAGGCTTGGGGCAGTGGCTTTATGCCTGTAATCCAATCCTTTTGGGAGGCCAAGTGGGGAGGATAATTTGAGCCCAGGAGTTAGAGACTAGCCTGGGCAACACAGTGAGACCCTGTCTCTACTAAAAAACATATTTTTAAATGTATCTACAGAAAGTCCCCCCAAGCTCAATCAATGTTTATGTAGAGTATTAATATACCACTCCCCACAAATAAGTTTCTAAGTCAAAGGTATTGTCAGAAGTTCAAAAGACTGGACCACTCAGTGCTTTGTGATATTATTTTGATGATTTTTTGACTGCATTCCATTCCAAAAACTAATTTACTTTGAGTAGAAGCAGAGTTAATAAAGTATGCAAAAATACTAATCTGGCTTATTTAAGTAGTCTAGTGACATATCTGAGAAAAATTTTGTGTGAGATTCAATAAAAGCTGAGATTTAAAGAACAGGTTACTGCTGGTCTCCCCAAGTTAACATAGTTTACCTGAGATATACACAAAATTAACTTTTATCCATCTCTCTCTCTCTCTTTTTTTTTAAGTATTTGCTTGAGGCATAATCATAATCAACTTCTAAAGTTACATTTTACTTGATTTGTTGTCCCAAATGTAGACAAAAAAATCCATAAATAGACACAGGCACAGTGGCTCATGCCTGGAATCCCAACACTTTGGAAGGCTGAGGCTGGAGGAGCCCAGGAGTTCCAGACCAGCGTAGGCAACATAGCAATACTCTGTATCTAAAAAATCTGTTTAAAAATGTTTCAAAAATATTTTTAAACATAAATATGAAGATTTCTGTTGTTAACAAAGTAATGGGTAGTCATTTTACATGAACTTTAATAAAACAATAATAGATGAACTGTGTTGTGCGTTCTATGGTGACTAGAGGAAAATATAATCATTTTGGGGAATGCCAATGCATGAACTCCTCAGGAGTAGGCACTCTTCCATTAATCCTCCCAGATTTTCAGTTCCCTTTTCTGAACACTCGTCTTTAGTCTCCGCGGGTTCTTCCACCATCAGCCCCTCCCCACAACGTAAAATGTGCATACTTCAGGGCTCTATCCTTTACCCTCTTATTCCACATAATATCCCTGGAGAAAATAATCACATTTTAACTTCAATCACTAAATGCTTAATCCAAATTTCTATCTTCATCTCAGACTTTTTCCCTTTAGTTCCAGACCCACATGTCCAACTACTTATGGGACCTCCCAACATATATGACAGGCTTCTCAAACTGAACACATCTACCCCACTTCTTAAACTCCTCAATTTTTTTTTCTTCTTTAGAGTTCAATGAATAACAGAACAATCCACTCTATCACCCCACTGTCATCCCTGGCTTCTCCTTCCTCATCTCCTGTATCACCAAGATCTGCCAATTCTACCTTTTTTCGTGGCCCCTCCTTCTTATTCCCACCATCGCTCTCCTAGTTCTCTTCATTTCTTCACTGAGCTTCAACAACATCTCCAATTTTTTGGTCTCTCATTTAAGCTCTCTACCAATCTGTCATTTGAGTGTTGCCAGTGATCCTTTCCAAATGCAAAACTGATCCAGTCACTGACCCAAATCCTCCTTATTACCTTTAAGGAAAATAAACTCATGGTCCTTAGGTTCCTTCTGATTTGGCCCACATTTGCCTTTCTGGCCTTACTTCCTCCCATTTTCTGCTAATACACGTGAAGAAGTATTCTCCAGTTCAGCCACAATAAACCAAGGCTTGCTTGTTCTCCCAGCCTTCGTGCCTCAGCCCAGGCTGTTCTGCTTCAGAAGCACCTGGTCATTTCCTGTTCACCCTTTATGACATGCAATTCCAGAGCTCAGGAAGTACCTAACACATTGTGAATGTGGTATCAATGTCTGCTCTATGCCTAAGTCAATAACAGCCTTTTATATTAAAAAAGTTCATTACGACATACAAGATATTTTCATTCATAATCTATAATAACATTTATCTTGATTCTCGCAACTAGACTATCGGACAACCATTGCAGGTTTTATTATCCCAAGTTATCAATGACAAAATAATAGCTTCTGTTTTTCCAAAGGGGCAAAGCTAGAAATTAATGCAATGACCCCAAACTAAAGGTTTGACCTCTCTATTATTACCCTACTTAAATTATCAGGTACACAATGAAGCCCACCGTGTGCTAAAAGCAACACAGAAGAAGCGTAAGTCATGCACTTAGCTCCAAACATATTTAATCTAGTCAGAGGTACAAGATCCAACCATATGAGATAAAATTCTATAGGAAAATATCCTACAGAGCTAAATGCTAAACCGTGTAGCACCCCCAGTAGGAGAGAGAAGTGCATTTAGTGGGCATTAGCCTAATCCTGAAAGACTTTCCAGAAACTGGGGCAGCATGCTCCTGCAGTCCCCTTTATTTATTTATTTATTTATTTATTTATTTATTTAACTTTTTTTTTTTTTGAGACAGAGTCTTGCTCGGTCACCCATGTTGGAGTACAGTGGCCCAATCTCTGCTCACTGCAAGCTCCGCCTCCCGGGTTCACGCCATTCTCCTGGCTCAGCCTCCCGAGCAGCTGGGACTACAGGTGCCCGCCACCATGCCCAGCTAACTTTGTGTATTTTTAGTAGAGACGGGGTTTCACCATGTTTGCTAGGATGGTCTCCATGTCCTGATCTCCTGACCTCGTGATCCGCCCACCTCAGCCTTCCAAAGTTCTGGGATTACAGGCGTCAGCCAATGCACCCGGTCAGTCTCCTTTAGACTGTGGATGAGTAAACGGCTGAGAGATAGACATTCCATGTGAGTGCAACAAATTGAATGTAGACCATGACAAGTTTGGAGAATAAAGAGGAAAACACCAAAAATAGAAATTTGATTGTTTTCCACCTTTGACCGAACTCCTTAAGAGTTTCAGAAAGTATCAGATAGAGAAAAAAGTACCCTGACTCTGGAAAAGAAAACAAAAACCAACAAAAACCCTAAAACCAACAAAAACAAAAATGAAAACTTCCTTCAACTTACCACAGTAAGGCTAGAAGACAGAACTATTAATAGCATGCTCATTTGCTATATTTATATCAACCTATTTGCATTAAATAATGTTAACCTCCCACTAAAGTTATTTCTACTTTGAATTCTGAAATAGTCAAGAGATTTAAATAAGAAAAAAGACAACATCTGTTTCTTCATTGTTACTTTGTTATTCCCTATCCATAATGCTTCAGTTTGCTACATTTAGCTTAACACCAGCAAAGTAAACAATAATGTAACTATTCTATCTAGTAATGAGCTTGGAGACTTAAAAAAATATACATAGAACTTTATTCCTTTTCATTTGACCACTAATAACATACTGAACATGCTGGTGAAAAGAAATAAAACACAATGGTAGAAAACTCCAAAAAGGTACAATCAGTGTCTTTACCATTCATCCCCCACCCCTATCTCATTAGCAACTTTCTGATCTCGGGTGTTTTTTCCAATAGTAATGTGTATCCCTATATCCAAACAATTTCTCTAAAGCCCTTCTCACTCATTCAAAAACGTTTAACAAGTACATTGCACTAGGTGATAGAGGAACAGAAACTGAATATTGTCCCTGCCTCAGACATTTCAGTGCTTTTACGCCTCACTTCCACTCCTAACCAGTCTTCTTCCACAGGTACCCTGTCCCCTAAAATCAAATGTTGCTTTTAACAGTTGCCTTTACTTGTCACCTAAAGTATTTCAATTCAAAATTTCCTCGAAGTCAACTTCACAGCTGCTGATAAAATAATCATTCTATATGATTACAAAGTGTTTCACCAATACATATCCCCATTTTTTACAAACTTAAAATTTCTTCAGTCCTTACTACTTTAATATAGAGACCTGCACTGTTGTTTCTTCTTTTTAAAAAAATACTAATGCTAATCCTTTACTGTTTGAGCAGACTTAATCTTACCTTTTCTTTTGTCAATAAATGCCAGGTGTTTTTTAAATCAATATCTTGTCACTTTTGATTATGATATACTGATCACTCTATTTGTATCTTGAATGAAAAGACCGCTTTGTGATTTTGCTAATGATATGTAAACTAGAACTTGAGAACCACTGGATACAGAAGTACTGCTGATCTTTAGATACTTTCTGTCTAAAAATGAAGCCCTGTCTCCAAATTTCAGGAACAGGGAGTTAAGGTTCCATGAAGTGTTTACTTTCCACCCTCAAATTATTACCTTAATACTTCAGCTTAAGAATTATGTGTTCTGTATATATCACGCTGCTTGTCAATATCCACACATAAACCTTCTTGTTTTGACAATTAATCTGAAAAAGTCCCCATATAGTCTAAGAGGGGGAAGAGCTAATTTGGAAGAATATAATATATGTCAGTTTCCATCACAGAATATATGCTTCTCAAGTTCAATTAACCTCTCAATGATTCCCTTTCTAAGAGGAAAGTAATTCTCCTTAGTGTCCTTGTCATCCATGGAGTGGAAATCTTTATACTGGCAAGATTATTAATCACTTGCATGACCCCCATAACGGCTCTTCCTTCCATTTCCCTCAAGTACTGTCTGGAGCAGCGGTTGGAACTAATAGAGGGGCCATAATCTCCAGACCTGAGTACCAAATCAATCCTGCAGCCCCCCACACCCTTAATGCCCCTGCACTTTCTTGCTTATCCTTTTTCTGTCCTCTCCATTTTTCTTTCCTCCTTCCGGTGTTCCAGAACCTATGATACTCTGCCGGTTGTTTGAATTTTTACAACCTACCAGATAATAATCCCTTGTGATCCTCAAAGCTTCCTTAAAGCAAACCCTGCATCACTGTGTTTTAAAACCAGTATGAAAGACTATTGTGTGGGATAATGTTACATTGTTTCACAGCCCTACAAAGTTTGGCCACAAAACGTGTGGGCAGATTCCATAACTCAACTGGAAACGCGAAGGACTGAAACAAATCAACACACACAAAACGAAGCCAGTGAGAAAGATCCAACCTGGGCCCCCTGCCTGAAATGGGACACGGGGATGACGGGGCAAAGCCGGGCAAAGCCGGGCAAAGCCGTGCTCCTGGCTCTCGCGATTCAGGAGGCGCTCCCAGCTCACTGGGGACGACAGCGACGATGGCAGCGGCTCGCATTGCTCCACGCTTCCCGTCAGGGGGGCTCCAGGGACCACCCCAGGCCCGGCCCATGCCCGGGCTCGGAGGGAGCCCCTGGTGCGAGGCCTGCCAGCAGGGCTCCGTCCTCTCGCTGAGGCGTGGCTCCCGGAGCAGAGGGCGCGGAGGCCGCCCTCGGCGTTTCAGAGTCGGGGCAGGGAATGTCCACGGCCAACTGCGGGCAGGGGACCCCCAGGTGGCTACAACAGGTGCGCTGGGTCCGCCCACCCGGCTCGGGGCGCGCCCGCCCCTGCGCCGACCCCCGACCCCTTCCGCCGCCGGGGCCCAGCTGTTACCTGCAGCGGCGCCTCCCGAGTCCCGGGAGGGCGGCCCAGGGCCGGCGCCTTACCCGCGGGCAGGCCCACTCGCCCAACGGACGCCGTGGGTCGGTGAAGTCGGGGCACAGGTCCTGCGGGGCCGCGGGGGCCGCCAGGGAGGGCGCGACCACCTGACCGGGCTTCACAGGCAGTGTCCTCAGCCGGTGACCTGGCCGCTACCGTCGCTCAGTGTCCCCAGCGACGCGCGGATCCTCACGCGCTCCCTCACTTCCTGCGGCTTTTGGTCCCTCCCGCTCGCCATCCCTCTGGTTCTGCCCACTCTGCCTCCGGGTTGTCAGGGCAACCGTAGGGACGCCGGCCCTGGCTGAGAGGCGTTAGGAGCCCGGGCGTTCGCCCGCGGAGGGCGGGGAGCAGCCGATCATGGAGCCCCAGAGTAAGGGAGGCCGGGGCTGGAGCTGTGACCGGGGCGGGCGACCGGGCTGGGGCTCCCTGGGAACGAGTGTGGGCGCCCCGCGTGCGACTCCGCAGGTTTCAGCGCTCGGACACGGAAATACGGTTTGCGTCTCCTCGCACTTTTCTCTCTTGGAGAGGGGAGAAGGGGGCTACATCCTGCCAAGTCTGTATGGTTGGGCCGCCGGCGCCCGAAAGTCCGCGCTGGGGGCCGGGAGCGACTGGAGAGCCCCGAGGTATGGGTGGGGGAGGGCGCAGCGACCCCAGCTTGCGCTTTCTGAAACTTCGCCCAGACAGTTCCATTTACTCCTCCTCCTACTCATGATTTTAGTTTGGTAGTTTGGTTCATTAATTGTAAGTAGCCCATTTTTCTTCTAAAATGCCAGCAATTAAACACGTCTGAGGCTGGGTTTTGTATTTATTAGAGACCCCATCTTACTCCCTGTCCCCCGCCCCACACCCCTAGTGTGAGACTTGAAGGAGAGAGAGAAAAAAAGAGCTTTGTCCAAGTGTATTTGTTTCATTCTTAGGGGTTCTACAAGTTAGGACACTCAAAAAGTGTTTGTGATCTCTTTTTCTGTTTTCCCATGTTGCTTTTGATGTATGGCAAAAGTTGTGCAGTTTTGAGTTATCAGATCTAACACAAGCTCTAACGTACTATTTTTGTTGTTGTTTTTACCTTTCCAGGGACTTTGTTTCAAGGCCTTTCTTTCTCTGCCCCGCCTAAGCTGTCTTATTGTTCCTTTTGTTCTGAAAATAAGGGGAGTGTTTTGTATGGAGACTTAAAATATCTAAAACCTTTTTAGAAGGATGCAGTTTGACTTCCAAACCAAGCGGTCTTATCTTGTACAATTTCAGAAATGAAGAACTCAGACCAAATCTACTCTCTGGGGAAAATGTTGGCATTTTTAAAGGTCATTCGTTTTCTACCAAGAAAGTTTCAAATACTTTTCTTTTTAACTCATTTGCTGAGGAGAAAACTTGCAAGTTGTGACTTATAGTTGCTTGATAAATTTTGTACAGTATTTGTTATTTGCATTTACAGCTCTTTGGATTCTACATTTTTTTAACCTAGTAAAAGAAATTTAGCATACGACAACGCTAAAATTTTTGTTTTATGTCAAACTGATGGCAGGCTGTGTGTATTCCCGCCTTAGAGAAGTGAGTTGAAATGTATCTTTTAAAAACAACAACTTGGCCAGGCCCGGTGGCTCACGCCTGTAATCCCAGCACTTTGGGAGGCTGAGGCAGGTGGATCACAAGGTCAGGAGATTGAGACCGTCTTGGCCAACATAGTGAAACCCATCTCTACTAAAATACAAAAAAAAAAAGAAAAAAAAGAAAAAAAGCCAGGCGTGGTGGCGCGTGCCTTGGGTCCTAGCTACTTGGGACGCTGAGGCTGAGGCAGGGGAATCGCTTGAACCCGGGAGGCGGAGGTTGCAGTAAGGCCAGATTGCACCACTGCACTCCAGCCTGGTGACAGAGCGAGACTCCATCTCGAAAAAACAAACAAAAAAACCTTTATTTCTTCAGATTTATGTTACTGTTTACATGTGTAAACTATAATTTGAAGTTATTCAGTGCTGTCTTTATCCATTCATTCATTTAGAGTGCCTGTTATGTTGCAGCTCTGTTCTAGGGATTGGGGATTGAACAACGGATCAGACAGTGTTAGTTTTGGTCATCCCAGGAAAACTAAGCAGAGGCTTGCTCAAGAACTACTGAGGTCTTGGTGGGGTTCGGAGATTGGGGGAAGAGGAGATGGACAAAGGCTCCCAAGAGGAAGTAGTACTGGGTCTGCAGAATGACCCAACAAAGAATGAGGGCAAGGGATTCCAGGCAGTGGGAATTACTTGTACATAGGCCCTGAGACCTGAGAGCAGCGTGGGTTTGAGGCTCACAGTAGGAAGATTAGTAAAGCTGTAGCTAAGGAGAGGAGGAAGAAAAAACGGCTGGAAGGAGGGGGGAGAAATGAGATAAGGCTGGAAAAGTCAACCGGAGCCAGATCAGAAAGGTTCTGTAACCATGTGAGAAATGTATTACATATGTGAACTATACATTTATATCTCATGTCATTGGATTTTTGAGGTGGAAAATATTTAATTTATACCTGAGGAATGACTGTAAATTTCTTTCTTTCCACATATTCTTAAATGATTTCATCAATTTAATTTCAAATAATTCAATCACCATTTAGCTCAAGTTTTTTTTTGTTTTGTTTTTTTTGAGACAGGGTCTTCCTCTGTCACCCAGGCTGGAGTATAGTGGTGCGATCATAGCTCACAACACCCCGAACTCTTGGGCTCAAGCAATCCTCTCACCTGAGCCTCCCGAGTAGAAGTGACTACAGGTGTGTGCCACCATACCCAGCTAATTTATTTATTTATTTAGAGACAGAGTTTCGCTCTTGTTGCCCAAGTTGGAGTGCAATGGTGTGATCTGGGCTCAACGCAACCTCCACCTCCCAGGTTCAAGCAATTCTCCTGCCTCAGCCTCCCAAGTAGCTGGGATTAGCAGCATGCGCCACCATGCCTGGCTAATTTTGTACTTTTAGTAGAGATGGGGTTTCTCCATGTTGGTCCAGCTGGTCTTGAACTCCTAACTTCAGGTGATCCTCCTGCCCTGGCCTCCCAAAATGCTGGGATTACAGGTGTGAGCCACTGTGTCCGGCCCCTAATTTTTTTTTTAGTTTTATTTACTTTGAATAAAGTCTGATTTTGTTGCCCAATTTGTTCCCGAACGCCTGGCCTCAAGTGATCCTCCTGCATCGTCCTCCCAAAGTGCTAAGATTACAGGCGTGAGCCAGCACACCCAGCCTGGAAATTCTTTAACAGCCTAAGAAACATAATTTGGATAAATATTTACTACCAAATGAGTTACTAAATATTTAAAAGGACAAGATTAAATGATCCTTGAGGTTTCTTTTAACTTGGAGATTTGTATCCAACCAGATTTCACCTGAGACTGAAGTTATTTCCTACCGTCAGCGATAATGGAAGCACTACAGTTGTGGCATTCAAGTATTACAGTGAATTACAATTATACTGTCAGCAATATTATGTTACCAGTACATTGTTTATGGCAATATTATCTAACATATTTTAAGCCCTGTTCCTTTTGTTACTGAGAGGGTTAAAATAACATTTTACAAGTATAGTTGAATATAGCATCAGTAAATTGGTTATGAGGAAGACTCCTTCATAATTGCTTTTAAGGATTAAACATGTATCTAAGGACAACACCAAGGAACTAATAGAAATAACCCTCGAGTCAGTCTTTTCCGTTCTGTTTCCACACCCTTAGTTTTCTATTACTTTTAAGAATGACCTTTGTTAACTAAGTCATTAAAATCCAATAAACATAGACTCTTCAGACCCCACAGCTGGATCATACTCTTGGCAGCAAGCAGAGGAAGGCAGGGGCTACCACTGTTTTACTGAATAATATTAAGTCAATGATCCAAAAAATGACTTCCCAGGGAAACGGCAAATTAAATACGTTCACAACCTTGGGCTGTTGAGAGTGGTTTTGGCTCTTGGCTTGCACATTGACGTCTTTAATTATTTTCTTGCTAAACCAACTTCAGTATTGGAAAGATAGCTCATGTATAAAATAACATGGAAAATGTACATCACATCCCATTTGTTTTGGGTTTTTGTCCTTTTTTTTTCTTTTTTTGGAAAATAGTTCAATAGTACTATCTCTTCCTTAATTTCTTAATGAGTGTCAATACCAAGGGGTGGCTTTGGGGATCTTAGCCCAAATCTAAGCAAACATATAATCTGAGTAAAACTGTGTATATTTATCAAATGCAGCATCAAGACAAGCCCCCCAGCTCCCACTTGGTGCTGCCTGTTCTGTAAGCTCTTGCTATATATATATATATTTTTTAAAAATCTTGGGTTAGTTTAGGCCCAGCAGGCAGCAATTTTCTGCTACACATGTTTCTTTCTGTTTTTGTTTGTTTGTTTGTTTGTTTGTTTGTTTTTTGAGACAGAGTCTTGCTCTGTTACCCAGGCTGCAGTGTAGTGGCACTAGCTTGGCTCACTGCAACCTCCACCTCCCAGGTTCCAGCGATTCTCCTGTCTCAGCCTCCCAAGTAGCTGGGATTACAGGTGCATGCCATCATGCCTGGCTAATTTTGTATTTTTATAGAGACAAGTTTTCACCGTGTTGGTCAGGCTGGTCTCGAACTCCTGATCTCATGTGATCCACCTGCCTCGGCCTCCCAAAGTGCTGGGATTATAGGCATGTGCCACTGTGCCCAGCCTCTTTCTGCTCCCCCCCCCCGTTTTTTTGTAGTTGTTGTTTTTAGAGAGACAGGGTCTTGCTGTGTTGCCCAGGTATGCCTCAAACTCCTGGGTTCAAGGGATCCTTCCACATTGGCCTCCCTGGGCTCACGCATGTTTTTAAAGAAATGGTAGATAAGAGATCTAAGGTATTCCAGTGACTAAGAAACTGAGGTGAATGACTAAGGGACTGAGACTTCTCTCTCCAAACCTGTTTCTCCACTAGTCTTCCAAGCCTTCCCAGTTACTCCAACCTGAAAATGAGTCATCCTTGGCTCCTCATTACCAACCCTCACCCCACCCTTTTCCATCCATCAGCAGATCTGTTTATTCCACTTCCAAAATATACCCCAAATGTGCTTCCTTTTCCTCCGTACTCCAAGCTACCATGCCGTGTAAGTTATGATTGTGATTTTTGCGTGTCTGCTTCCACTGCTGCACTGTAAGTTATGATTGTGATTTTTGCATGTCTTCTTCCACTGCTACCTGGAAGCTGGAGTGACCTTTCAAAATATACATCAGATCAGATCATGTCACTCTCCTGCCAAAAGCCCTCCAAAGTTCTTACGGTGATCTAGCTGCCTCTTCAAACTCATCACACATCTGATCTTAGACGTATTATGCTTCAAGCACATTGGTCTTCTTGTAGTCCCTCAAACAAGCTTCTTTCAGGACTGTGGCTCTGAACAAGCTTTCCTCTCTGTCAGGGATGCTATTCCCTCCTGCTATGGCAGGTCTGACTCCTAATGTCCTTCAATCTTTGCCTAAATTTCACCTCCTCCAGCCCTTCCCTGGCTTCCTAAAGTGGTGGTGCCCCCTCTCTGATGTTATTCTATCTCTGTGCTTTTCTCTTAATAGTAATAATCAGAACTTATAATTATTTTGTTAATATTTAAAATCTAGCTGGACATGGTGGCTCATGCCTGCAATCCCAGCATTTTGGGAGGCCAAGGCAGGAGGATCACCTGAGGTCAGGGGTTCGAGACCAGTCTGGCCAACTGGCGAAATCCCATCTCTACTAAAAATACAAAATTAGCCAGGTGTGGTGTTGCACGCCTGTAATCCTAGCTACTCATGTGGCTGAGGCAGAATTCCTTGAACCCAGGAGGCGGAGGTTGCAGTGAGCCGAGATAGCACCACTGTTCTCCAGCCTGGGAGACAAGAGCAATATGGGGTGGGGGGAGGGTGGAGGGATAGCATTAGGAGATATACCTAATGCTAAATGACGAGTTAATGGGTGCAGCACACCAGCATAGCACATGTATACATATGTAAGTAATCTGCACATTGTGCACATGTACCCTAAAACTTAAAGTATAATAATAATGTTTTAAAAATCTACTTTCTTCACTCGACTGTAGGGTGGTGGAAGAGGTCAGGGGACCCGTCTGCCCTGTTTGCCATCCTATCCCTAGTGCCTAACATGGAGTAAACCCTAAACATTCATGGAATGGATAGCACTGCTGTTCACAGATAGATGCCTTACCTACTTTCATTTCCTTAAGAGTGTTGTGGTGTAGTTAAAAAAAGAAAGCCATTTTATTCTACAATATTCTACAACACAAAGGGCTGTGCTCCAGTGAAATTTGAAGTGCCTTTTGTGGAGTGTGCTTTGGGTAAAGTTCATTTAAATCAGGTACTTATAAATGTCAGGTCGATTACAAATATGGTTTCCCATTTTCTTTTCTAACCTAAACGAGACGTTTTAAACAAGTCTCATTCTATCCAGTAAGAATAAGGAAAGAGGCAAGTAATCTTATTTTTTGGACCAAGCGGCCACGAGGTCATAAGACCTAAAAATCTTTACACTCCCAGGCAGCACCTGCTCGTTAATTATCTAGGAGACTGGTAAGGATTTAAAATTAATTTTTTCCTTAAGCCCAGGAATCATTTAAAAAATCTGTATAACATTTTTTTCTCATGTAGTCTTAGCCCCGAAGAATATTAAATCTATCAATTAGGTTATAATTCAAATATTATCAAGAAATAAATGCTTATATAAATCAAGATTAAAAATATTTTCAAAGCAGCGTTTTTTAAACAGTGACGTTTTAAAATCCCCGTCAAAATGGTAAAATTCGTTGTGATCCTGACCTCTCATGCTGTCAGCCACAGGAAGGGGCAAAACGACTTGAGGCTTGAAGCCGTGTCTTTCCCGAAGCTCAGGTTCACCAAACATGGTCTCCAGATGGAGTCTGTTCCTCAGAACCTGGGCTTTACTTCTCGATGGGAGAAGGAAGCAGTGTTAAAACTTGTCTATTCTGAACTAGCCAACCAGATTAAAGGAGGGGTTTGTGCATACCAACGTCATCCCAGAATGACCTGAATGACTCATTACATGCAGACAGTGGTGCAAACTCATTAACAAGTAAACAACTCACACCAGTGCTCTGTGCTCACAGGGCTGGGGGCATTCTTGGGTATTTTTCTTAAGGGAGGCTGGAAGAAGGGAGGAGGCGTTCCTTTCTCCTCGAGGCAAAGGCCAGTTCCCTTTGCTGTGCCCCAGGCCTCTCCTGGTTGTTATAAACTCTTCCAGTCCTTTTCTTGGGAAGGTGCTCTCATCCCCACCCTCCTGCCTCCTCCCTCCACCTGTTGTGCACTCCCTGAGAGAAACAAAACAAGTTAATTAGCTTATTCAGCTACTTGGGAAGCTGAGGTGGGGGGACTGCTTGAGCCTAGGAGTGGATTCAGCCCAGGCAACATGTCAAGACCCCATCTCTAATTTTTTTTAAGTTTTTGTTTTTTTTTAATTTAAATTAACATATTCAGACTAGTGCACGTACTTCGGTTCTCTACTGAAGTAATTCACCCTAAATTGAAACTAGCATTGCTAGTTTAGTGTATTACTCCTCTCTAGGCAGCCTCTCTCTCTCTTTATATATTTTGTTTGTTTGTTTGTTTTGTTTTGTTTTGTTTTTTTGAGACAGAATTTCACTCTTGTCGCCCAGGCTGGAGTGCAATGGCACAAGCTAGGCTCACTGCAACCTCCACCTCCTGGGTTCAAGCTATTCTTCTGCCTCAGCCTCCCGAATAGCTGGGACCACAGAATGTGTGTGACCACACCTGGCTAATTTTTTATTTTTTTGAACTGGAGTCTCAGTTTGCTCCCCAGGCTAGTCTTGCCACTATCCTAGTTTTTCTTCTGTATTATTAGACGGGGCCTCAGTGTCCTTGAACTGCAAGGAATTAACATTGAGTGTAGTATTAGTAAAACCTATCTTCTATTCATGAAAATCAATCATTTTTTAAATAAAAGATCCCACAATTATTATAAGCAGAAACAAATTAAAAGGTTGTATACCTACTGTTTGAAAAACACAACTTACCAAAACCAAACATAAGAAGTATGTATACTCCTATAATTATGAAATAAATAGAGTCCATAATTTAAAACTTCCTCACAAAAACAATCCCCAGTTCCTGATGGCATCACTGGTGAATTCTTCAATGAAAGGGAAAAAATAACACCAACATTACAGATTTTTTTTAAATCTTAGGGACAGATCTCACTATGTTGCCCAGGCTGGAGTGCAGTGGCTATTCACAGTCACGTTCCAGTTATCCTCCCACTTCAGCCTCTTGAGTAGCTGGGACTACAGGCTACAGAAACTTTTAAGAGAACAAAAATAAAGGGAACTCCTGAGCTTAAGCACTTCTCCCACCTCGGCCTCCCAAAGTGCTGGGATTACAGGCATGAACCACTGTGCCCTGCTTAGTGTGCTGTTTTTAAAAATGACTTTTGGGCTCGTGTTCATGTGACTGATTAGCCTGTAGTTTTACTTTTTGTAATTTTTTAGACTACTTTTGATATCAAGTTTATTGTAATCTCAAAAAATGAGCATGGCTCTGTTCCCTTTATTTTTGTTCTCTTAAAATTTCTGGCCAGGCACGGTGGCTCACGCCTGTAATCCCAGCACTTTGGGAGGCCGAGGCGGGCAGATCACGAGGTCAGGAGATCGAGACCATCCTGGCTAATATGGTGAAACCCCGTGTCTGCTAAAAATACAACAAAAAAAATTTAGGCAGGTGTGGTGGTGGGTGCCTGTAGTCCCAGCTACCAAGGAGGCTGAGACAGAATGGCGTGAACCCAGGAGGCGGAGTTTGCAGTGAGCCGAGACTGCGCCACTGCACTCCAACCTGGGTGACAGAGCGAGACTCTGTCCCAAAAAAAAAAGTTTCTGTAACCTGTAGTCCCAGCTACTCCAGAGGCTGAGGTGGGAGGATCACTGGAACTTGACTGTCAAAAGCCACTGCACTCCAGCCTGGGCAACATAGTGAGACTCTGTCACTAAGATTTAAAAAAAAAAATCTGTCCCTGAAATTAAAAAAGTAATTCTGTAGTGTTGGTGTTACTTTTCCCTTTCATTGAAGAATTCACCAGTGAAGCCATCAGGAACTGGAAATTGTTTTTGTGGGAAAGTTTTAAATTACGCATTCTGCCTATTACTAGACATAAGAGTTTACATACTTCTTCTGTTTGGCTTTGGTAAGTTGTGTTTTTCAAACAACAGGTGTAGGTGTACAACCTTTCAATTTGTTTCTGCCTCTAATAATTCTGGAGCCTTTAAAAAATGACTTTTCATGATGAATAGAACATAGCTTTTACTAATGCTCTAATCAGTATAAATTCCTTGCAGATCAAGGACAGTGAGGATATGTCTAATAATCCAGAGGCAGAACTTGGATTTGGGAGATAACTCCCGCCTCTTGCACTCTCTGTGACAAGTCTAGTTTTGATATCAAGTTTATCTTAATCTCAATAAATGAGCTTGGCTCTGTTCCCTCTATTTTCTCTTTAAAGTTTCTGCAGCCTGTAGTCCCAAATACTCAGGAGGGTGAGGTGGGAGGATCACTTGAAGCCAGGAGTTCAAGGCTGTTTACTGAAACAATCAGGAATGAGCATTCCCAAGAGAATACAATTACAAAAGTAAAATCACCTAGAGCTTTGGGGCTGCTTAAAAAGCCCAGAAAGAAGTGCCAAGTGAGAAAATAATCAAATTCAGTGGAAAAAGTCACTTGAGGGTATCATGGTCAGCTGAGTTTCCACCCCTTTGATGCACTTCAAATCCTGTGTATCCCACAAAGACTTGCTCCTTTCTAAAGGCTATGGTTTACGTTCAACAGAATAGCAGCAACCACCATAAGGCTGAAGGCTGGCTAGTCTTTAATATTCTGCCTTATTCAAAGAAATGAGTCTTTCCCTCATTCCTAAAGATCTCCCAGGTCCATTACAAAAAAAGAAGGAGCAGCTAGGTGCAGTGGCTCATGCCTGTAATCCCAGCTCTTTGAGAGGCCAAGGCGGGCGGATCACCTGAGGTCAGGAGTTTGAGACCACCCTGGCCAACATGGTGAAACTGCATCTCTATTAAAACTACAAAAATCAGCTGGGCATGGTGGTGTGTGCCTGTAATCCCAGCTACTAGGGAGGCTGAGGCAGGAGAATTGCTTGAACCTGGGAAGTGGAGGTTGCAGTGAGCCAAGATCATGCCACTGCATTCCAGCCTTGGGGACAGAGCAAGACTCTGTCTCAGAAAAAATATTCTTACCTCCTGGAAGTATTTTACTAGTGTTGGTTTCTATTTGACATTAAACACTTCCCCAGGCCAGTGCATTAGCAGTTAGCTCCTTACTAAATATTATCTGTAGCAAACAGTAGCTGACTCCTAGCTCTCTTCAGTGAACTTGAATTTAAATTTATAGAATTCTCATGACTTCTATTTCATCTTGAAACCTAGAGATTTCTTCCTTTTCCTAGTGATTTACCTTTCAATTATATGTAGACTGAACCAGTCAGAGCCGTCTTTAGTTGGTCTCTATTCAAACACTGTACTTTTGTTTCTTGATTACATCTTCAATTATTTTAGTTATTTCTGAGATTCTCCCCTGCAATTTCTCCAACTCTCTAGGGCATAAAGAGTGCATGAATAACATTATGAAGGCTGTGAGACTTCAAATAAATGAGTAGCCTTTCTGAGCCTCAGTTTTCTCCTCTGTAAACCAGGAATAATTTTTACTGAACAAAGTTGTTCTAAGGATTAATGAAATGTATGTAAAACACTTAGCATTTAATAAGTGATCAAATGGTAAGTGATGCTTATAAAATGTTTTTATCATGGTAAAATATACAAAGCATAAAACTTACCAGCCTTTTAATCTAAATAGTCTTATTGTGATAGGCTTGCTTATAGTAAAACAAACTCTTATCTTTTAGTATCTGTAGGATCTATAGTGATAACTCTTCACTCCTTATATTCTAACTTGTGCCTAATTAGTTAGGCACAACTCTTACTAATTAGTTGTCTATTGCTGCATAAGAAATTACCTGAAACTTAATGTCTTCAAACAACAACAAGTATTTATTATCTGTGATAGGCAGACTTCTAAGATGTTTCCCATGATCTCGATGTCCTGGTGTTATACTCTGTATGATCTCTTCCTTTTTTAGTGTGGATGGGATCACTGCCCAAGCTTTTGGATGAAATCGAGTAAGTGTGAGTAGGATCTGTGACTTGTTTCTAACTGACACAATATTGCAAATGTGATGGGTTGTTACTCCTGGGATATGTGTGTGTGTGTGTGTGTGTGTGTGTGCGCACAGAAGAAAGGAGAGGGAAGAGGAGAGGAGGAGGAGGAGAGAGACATACATTAGGATATGAGATAGACATATTGCTGGCATGCACACAAGATTCTCCTTGCTGATTTGATGAAGTGTGTGACCATATTGAGGAAGCCCAACAGCAGGTGGTGTCTAGGACCTGAGGGTGGCCTCCGGTCAATACCCAATAAAAAACATAGCTACACAATCATACAGACATAAGGAAATGAATTTTGTCAACAACCTGAATGAGCTTGAACCTAGCTCAGCTGACGCCTTGCCTGCAACCTTGTGAGACCCTATGCAGTGAACCCAGTTGAGTTGTGCCCAAATTCCTGACCCACAGAAAATACGAGAGAATAAATATGTTTTTTCCTCCCTTTTTTTTGAGACAGTTTCACTCTTGTTTCCCAGGCTGGAGTGCAGTGATGCGCTCTCAGCTCACCACAACCTCTACTTCCCTGGTTCAAGCGATTCTCCTGCCTCAGCCTCCCAGTTAGCTGAGATTATAGGCATGTGCCACCACACCCAGCTAATTTTGTATTTTTAGTAGAGATAAGGTTTCTGCATGTTGGTCAGGCTGGTCTCGAACTCCTGACCCTCAGGTGATCTGTCTGCCTCGGCCTCCCAAAGATCTGGGATTACAGGTATGAGCCATGGTGACTGGCCTTTTCTCATATGTTTATAGCAGCACAATCTGCAACTGAAAATATATGGAATCAGTTCAAATGCCCATCAGTGAACAAATGGATAAAGAAAATGTGGTATATGTGTAGCATGGAATACTACTCAGCCATAAAAAGGAACAAAATAATGGCATTTGCAGCAATCTGGATGGAATTGGAGACTTGTTCTATGTGAAGTAACTCGGGAATGGAAAACCAAATATCATATGTTCTCACTCATAGGTGGGAGCAAAGCTATGAAGATGCAAAGGCATAAGAATGATACAATTGATTCTGGGGACCCAGGGGAAAGGGTGGGAGGGGGATGAGGGAGAAAAGACTACACATTGGGTACAGTGTACCCTGCTCGAGTGATGGGTGCACTAAAATCTCAGAAATCACCACTAAAGAAGATATTCATGTAACCAAACACCATCTGTTCCCCAAAAACCTATTGAAATAAAAAATAAATTTAAAAAAAAGGAAGTAAAAAAACCACTTAAAAAAGAATAAACATGTATTTTCTTAAATGAAATCCTGACCCACAGAAACTGTATAAGAGAAAATATACTAGACAATATATGTATGTTTCATGAGATGTTCATTTGTTATACAAAAATAGCAAACTAATATAGAGCTTCTGTGGGTCCTGATTTGAGAAATGCTTTAGCTGGTTGGTTCTGTCTTGGTCAATATGTTGATTAGGCCTGCAGTCATCCGAAGGCTTGACTGAGGCTAGGGCATCCAATTTCAAGATGTCTCACTTAACATGGCTAGCAAGTCAATGCTGTCTGTTAGCAGGAGACCTCTGTAATGTAATGCATTAAGCTCTGTAGGGTTGCTTGAATGTCCTTGCAGTATGGTAGCTACTTTCACCCAGGGTGAGCAAGGTGGAAGCTGCCATGTGTTTTATAATCTAGCCTAGGAAATTTGAACTAGCTTTTTGATAACACAGGTCAGCCATATTCAATATGAGAGAGAACTGCACAAGGCATGGATAGCAGAAGTGAAAATCACCGCGGGCCATTTTGGAGGCTGGCTGCCACAGAGATTAGCAACTGGAATACTGTTTTCAAAGAAACAGCTTTGGCTTTTTATATTTTCTCTATTATGTCTTTGGTTTTTTTTTTCATTGATTTCAGCTTTTATCCTTATTATTTCCATCATTTTAATTTCATTCAGCTTAATTTGCTGGGATTTTTGAGATGGATGCTTAGATCATTGGAGTTTTTTTCTTTTTCTTTTTCTTTTTTTTGAGACAGGGTCTTACTGTGTCACTCAGGCTATAGTGCAGTGATGAATCATAGCTCATAGCAGCCTTAAATTACTGAGCTCAAGTGATCCAATCCTCCCTCCTCAGCCTTCCAAGTAGCTGGGACTACAGGTGTGTGTCACCATTCCCAATTAATTTTTTTTTTTTTTTTTTTTTTTTTTTTTTTTTTTTTTTGCTGTGACAGGTCTCACTATGTTGCCTGGGCTGGTATTGAAGTTCTGGCCTCAAGCAAACTTCCTGCCTTGGCCTTCCAAAATGTTGGGATTATACATGTGAGCCACCACACCTATCATAACAGTTTTTCAGTACTTTTTTTGTTTTGTTTTCAAATACATGTGTTTAGGTTTATAGATTCCCCCCACCCCAGATTTAGTCAAATCCCACAAGTTTTCTACTTTTGTAAAATTTTATTGAAGTATAATATACCTGAGAGAAAGTGTGCCATCTTAAATGTACAGGTGGATGAATTATCACAATGTAAATAAACCTCTGTAACTAGCACCAAGATAAAAAAAAACTACTACTTATTTAAACCTAGGTTTGATAATATTACCAATGACTTTAAAGTTCATGTCTGATAATTCTAATACCTGAAGCACTTGTGGGTTTGTTTCTTTTTTCTGTTTTTTATTTTGCTCATAGTTTTCAGTCACTTGATCATATATGCTGGGATTCCTGGTAAAATATACATACTTCTCATTTTTAAAAATTGTACAGCTCTAGCATAAAGAGTCCTACAATGGGTACTTATCCCCCCATCTATAACTTTTTTTACACTTTGTTTTGTTTTTACTCTTTCTAGACTTTATTATTTTACTTTTTGGATAAGTAATATAGTTACAAGTTTCTAAGATAAAAATTATGAAAGAGTGTTAGTGAAAAGTCTCATTCTTGCAATGCCAGCACCCTCTTCCTGTCCTACAGGTAACCACCATGATTAATTTCTGGTATATCATTCCAGAGATAGTTTAAACCTCATATATACAAGCAAATTATGTATACTGTATTCCTGTGTCTGTTCTGTACTTTGCTTTTTTCACCTAACATTATATTTTGGTGAGTTTTCTGTTTAGTACATAATACATTTTCTCATATTTTAAACAACTGTATTCTGTTGTATGAATTTATCATAATTTATTGAATCAGTCCCCTGCTGATGGACATCCAGTTTGTTTCCAGACGTTTGCTATTGTGATAGGCTGAATAAAAGATGTCCACAGGCCGGGCACGGTGGCTCATGCCTGTAATCCCAGCACTTTGGGAGGCCGAGGCGGGCGCATCATGAAGTTAGGAAATTGAGACCATCCTGGCTAACACAGTGAAACCACATCTGTACTAAAAACACAAAAAATTAGCCGGGTATGGTGGCATGCGCCTGTAGTCCCAGCTACTTGTGAGGCTAAGGCAGGAGAATTACTTGAACCCAGGAGGCAGAGGTTGTAGTGAACCGAGATTGCACCACTGCACTCCAGCCTGGGTGACACAGTGAGACTCTGTCTTTCCAAAAAAAAAAAAAAGATGTCCACATTCAAATCCCTGAATCTAGGAATATATTACTTTACATAGCCAAAGGGGTCTTGGGAGTAAGGATTGTGAGATGGGCAGAGGAGCGTGTATCATCCAGGTGGGCACAATGGAATCAATCACAAGCTTCCTTATAAGCGGGAAGAAGTGTCAGACTCAGGCGATACGAAGATGGAAGTGGTGATTGCAGTGATACACGATCAAAAGCCAAGGTATGTGGAAAGCCGTCAACAGAAGGAAGAGGCATGGAAACGGACTCTCCCCTGGAGCCTCCAGATGGAACCAGCCTTTGATTTTAGCTCCGCAAGACGCGTTTCAGACTTCTGACCTCCAGGCTCATAATAAGATAAGTTTCTGTTGTTTTAAGCTGCTACATTTGTGGTAACTGATTATAGCAGCAATAGGAAACTTAGAAGAGCTATTTTTATAATTATAAGCAAAGCTGCAAGAAACAATGTGTATCTGACATTTTGCATTTGGGAAAGTATATCTGCAGAATAAATGTCTAGATGTGGACTAGGTAGTTAGTTTTGATAATTGTTAAATCACTCTCCTCTAGACAGGTTATACCAGTTTATACTTCTAGCAGCAATATGAGTGAATGCCTCTTTCCCACAGCCTCCTCAACTCCATGTGTTACCAAACTTAGAATTTTTACTGTTCTGCTAGTAAAAAGCCCTAATTTCTTTGGATAACTTACTAATTATTGAGTCTTCCTCATCTGCACAACATGGTTAGAAGCTCCTTCAGAGTTATGCCTGGGTCCTTATTTCTATTTTTTTCTACACTGCATACCTTTGCGTCCTTCCTGTTAACCTTACATAGGGCGGGCTCACTTCACAGAAGGAGGCGATGATATACTCAACGGCATCTCTGCTTGATAGAGGGGAAAAATATGCGATGTAGAATCCATTCTATCCATCTATCAAGTTCCATTTAGGAAAACAAAACATCCTATTCACAATAATTGACTAGTGAAGACTGAAGAAGCAGTTGCCTAGCAATGCCCTGATCATTTTTGATGTTGACTGGTTGACATAAGGCGGGATCAACAAACACACAGCACGTGTGTGGCCCTGGCAGCTGATTCAGATCCTTCCCACTAAGGTCATTATTACCCAGGCTCTTGGAGGCAGCCACTCCTCATTGATTATTTGCACATGAGATAAACCTCTTTGTTTTACCATATTGAAGGACTAACAGAATCACAAACTGTAACTCAAGTGCTTTTCCAGTGAAGAGTGAAATAGGAAGGAACGAAAATAACATATATCTACCCCCCTCCTCCTCTTCCTTTAGCTTGGGGTCATCATTACCTCCATTTCTCCATTTTATTTTTGTTTCCTTTTTATTGGCACCACCCAAGTATGTGTGTGTGTGTGTGTGTGTGTGTGTGTGTGTGTGTGTGTTTGATATTAAAACTTTAGGGAAAGAAACAGCTCTCTTAAAAATGTCAGCAACTTCAATTCATTGCTTTTTAAATATCCTGGTTAATAATTTACACCCTTGGTTAAAATATTCAATCTTCTACTTAATATATAGTGCTTAGCTTTGTTTTTATTTTATTTTTTGAGACAGTCTTGTTAGCTCTGTTGTCCAGGCTGGAGTGCAGTGACCCAATCTTGGCTCACTGCAACCTCCACCTGCTGGGTTCAAGCAATTCTCATGCCTCAGCCTCCCGAGTAGCTGGGATTACAGGTGCCCACCACCACGCCCAGCTAATTGTGTTTTTAGTGGAGACGGGCTTTCACCATGTTGGCCAGGCATATCTCGAACTCCTGACCTCAAGTGATCCGTCCGCCTCGGCCTCCCAAAGTGTTGGGATTACAGGCGTAAGCCATCGTGTCCAGCCTAGTGCTTAGCTTTAATGTGAGTCAGTGTTAGCATACACATTCAGAATTCTTTCAACCTCAAACCACAAATCTTAATTATGTATCATGGAAATACAAATTGGAACAAAAATCTGTTGACTGTGAGCCCACATAACATAATTTTTGTTTCCTGAAAACAAAAGTATGCAAGTGGATGAGGCCTTTTAAGGGAATCTTGTGGCTTCTCAGTCCTTGCTGTTCTGAATTGGTGATTATCAACAGAAATGCCCAACAGGTGATTGTAAAGATACTGGTAATTCTCCACTCTTATCTGATTACACCTACATTTTGCTTGTTGCTCATTCTGCATAACATCTAAATGCTGTGTGACACCTAAACCCTTTAGTAGTCGGCCAAAAGGAGGAACGAGGGCGTGTTTATGAAACAGACAGCTGTCGTGAGTCCTGGCGCTCAGCTTCATTCACTAATCAGTTGTCAGTTGGCAACTTGATTGCAGATAACTTCAGTGTGAGTCAGGCTCGTTTGCCACAGCTGTTTCTCTTAAAAGTTCTCTGATAAGTCACTGCCACCACTACTTCCAAATAGCGTATGTTAACTTTGAGTTAATTTTAGATAAACTCGGGTTAATTTACAAAATTTTGGCACCAGGAACATGGTTAAGCAAGGCAGCATGGATGGGTATTGGAATCCATCAATCTGGGTTGCTGTGTACCAGCTCTGGGACTGGGGGCAAGTTGTAGCAGCCCTGAGCCTCCTGCTTCACCTGTATCAAGGGAGGCTGAGACCTACCTTGCAGGGGTCTTGTGAAGATTAAATGCAATGCTGTGTGAATGGTGGCTACCTTCGTGCCTGGCCTGTCAAGACCAGGCAGTTTACACAAAAACACTTGATATTGACTATGAAACAAGATCCGGAAGAGAACAAATATAAATACAGATGGATCAGCTAAATGAAGGACTGTCGAGTAAAAACACAAAGAGGATGTTTGTGAGTGGAGGGGGATGGATCTCCTTCTCCACCCAGCAGTGAATATCATGGGAATCTCTCTCTACCTGAATCTACCTCTTATAATTCTTAAATTAAGAACCATTAGAACTCTTCTAAACTTTCTAAATACTTATTACAGTATGAAACCCTGCCCACCTCCCAGACAACTTCCTATGGACATTAGATTTTTTAAACATAGGATATGTTAAGTGATGGTCTTCATTCCTCGATGTCACATTTTAAATTTGTATTACTTTTTCTTCATTTTCCAAAGCTCTAGCTCAGCATTTTTGTATGCCTTATATATATATATATTTTTTTAAAAGTCTCAGTGGCCTTTTTAATGTGTCGATTTCTACACCCCAGCCTCAGGTAGTGTAAGCTTCATGAGTACAGGAACCAGCCCTGCCTGCTCACACTGTCACCAGCATGTTCGCAGGGCGGACACATGCCAGGCACTCAGGTATTAGTTGAATAGGTAAATGGAAGACTGGAAAATGTAGGCTGGACTGAGAACTTGTGGATAGACACACCTCAGTGATTTGTGAAAAGGAAGATTGGTCCAAAGCAATGTTTGTTAACCAAATTTTCATTATCAAAGAGGAAAAACTAAACATTCCCTAACAGAATGAAAAAGGAATAAAATTTTTGTTAGATGATGTTGAGCTTTGAAAGGCCACCAAGGACACTTTCAATATCAAATCTTCCTCATCCCCCCAACTCCAGAAAACTAGTTTTTGCTCAGGTATTGGCTCAGTGGAAAATGTGTGGTCTGAAGCTGTAGTCTCCTAGTTTGTGAGTCTCCTTATTTTCACTGCCTGAAGTTTTGAGTCACCGTAGAAGGGGAGGAGGGGCGGTGGAGATCAGAAGTGAGGTCTGTGAACTCCGGAGTTGACTTAGGTGCGGAGGGGATGACGTAGAACTGCTGGCAGGGAGGCCCCATCTGATCTAAGAGTGAGCTTGGCAGGCAGAAAGCACTTGGCAAAGCCAAGGTAATGGTTGGGAGAGACTGATAGATCCAACACTCCTATTCCTTGAGGCCAGTCAGTGATGTGTATTAACCTAGGGTGGCTCTAACTTTAATGTGTCAGTGAAAGGGATCCGGCTACAACTCCACACTCCTGAGGTGGGGCCCAGTGTTCTGCGTTTCTGTTAAAAATACTGTGAGGGAGCACCAGGCTGCTCCTTCCGCAGGCCATACTTTGAGAAGGAGAAGCATGGCATTATCTCACCTGTGCATGTTATATTTGTTAAAGGGTAACTTTTCAAAAACAGGAAAAACTATCACTCATATAGATATAAATGTTAAATATTTTATTAATGAAGTGAGCAGTGAGATGTTACAAGCAGTTCAAAAGGGAATCCAAAGGGATGGACACATCTATTACTCAGAATATTGAAATAAACTGGAAATTGATGCATAAGTGGCTTTGCCACATGGAGAAGGATTGGCTTTCCAAGGCGGGTTGATTTGCATGTTTATAAACAAGAGTCATTTGCATTATCAGTTCTTTTCAACTTCACATACCATAAAACAGGTGAAAGGCTAGACTAGAAAACCTTAAAGGGGCTGGGTGCAGTGGCTCACGCCTGTTATCCCAGCACTTTGGGAGGTTGAGGTAGACAGATCACTTGACCCCAGGAGTTCGAGACCAGCCTGAGCAACATAGACCCTCTCTCTACAAAAAAAAGTTCCAAAAATTAGCTGGGCATGATGGCATGAGCCTGTAGTCCCAGCTACTCAGGAGGCTGAGGTGGGAGAATCCCTTGAGCCAGGGAAGTGGAGGTTGCTGTGAGCTAGGATCATACCCTTGCATTCCAGTCTGGGTGACGGAGGGAGATCCTATCTCAAAAAACTGAAGGAGTGTGATCTAAACAATGTGTAGTGTTTCCACTGAAGCACAGATGTTTTCCCTGTGATTTGTAGTGATTGGCATTTTCAAACTGCAGATTGCTATCTATATTAACTTGACAGTTTGTAATAACTGCTTGAGATTAGCAGTTTGTCTTTCTTCAGTTTAGTTAATTGTCATCTTTAGCTCCTCTGTGTAATATGAGAAAGTAATGAGAATTTTTTTTTTTCTTTTTAGACGGAGTCTTGCTCTGTCACCAAGCTGGAGTGCAGTAGTGGTGCAATCTCAGGTCACTGCAACCTCTGCCTCCTGGCTTCAAGTGATTCTCCTGCCTCAGCCTCCCAAGTAGCTGGGACTAGAGGTGCATGCCACCATGCCCAGCTAATTTTTGCATTTTTGGTAGAGATGGGTTTTACCATGTTGGCCAGGATGATCTCGATCTCTTGACCTCGTGATCTGCCTGCCTTGGCCTCACAAAGTGCTGGGATTACAGGCATGAACCACCACACCCAGACATGAGAGCTCTTAAATAGAATTTCCATCTATAAAAAGTAGGTACTGTCAGTATTCCCCTCACATAAGCTTATGAAGAAGTCATTTTAAAAAGAGAACCCCTGTAATCGATCAGGGACCCCATCTGCCTTCTCTGTGGGCCTAGGATAAATTCTTTTGATTGTTTATGTCTATTTGGTGTAAAAAGATCTGTAGTTAAAATATACCGTTGCATTATCCATAATAGCCAAAAGGTGGAAGCAAGCCAAATGTCTATCTGCAAATGAATAAACAAAATATGGTTTATACACACTATATGCAGTAGAATACTATTCAGGCTTACAGAGAAAGGCAATTCTGACACATGCTACACCATGGATGAACATGGAAGACATTATGCCACGTGAAATAAACCAGTCACCAAAGAACAAGTATTTTATGTGATCAGCTTCTTGATAATCTCCAAAATAGCCACCTTAGCTTATTGAATGTTTGAAGCTGAAGGAATCTCAGAAATGATAGGAAGGACACTCTGACCTTCCCACCCTCTTCTCTGATGTAGGCCACAAGGCCCTTGGGTGAGAGATGCCGTCCCTGTCCCTGGAGGAAGGAGCATCCTTCTCTCTGAAGATGACGCTGAGAGGAATCTGAATGATAGGTCCTGCTGTTCCTCCCAGTTTACTACACGTAGCTCCTACCCCTTTTTTTCCTCTTGCAATTTTCTGCTTCTCTCCACTTTTTATCAAACTGTTAAAAATGATGGGAGGCCATTCTTTTGGGCTGGGCTCCTGCACTAGCCTTCAACAGATCAGACCAAACCAAAATTGAATTACTTATGCTAAATGCTGTGTCATCAAACTGAAACTTTAAGGAAGCAGATCCCCAAACAGACCAGTTTTTCTTGAAAACATGAGATTCCAGTCTACTTGAATCAGTGGAAGAAGGAAGTCCCCTCTGCTTTAACCATTACAAAAAAGTAACTGAAGAAGCTTGATGTTAACCAATCAGGTTTTTCTATTCTGTTTCCTTGTTGCTACCTCATAAAACCTGTGGTTCTGCTATTGCCCAGTGGGAACTCTCATTCTGTTTTGTAGAGTGAAAGGTGCCCAGATTCATGAATCATGAATAAAAGCCAATTAAATCTATAAATTTGTTGTAGTCCTCTGATAAACTTAATATAAAACCTAATTTGTTGTAATTTAGTCTTTTGACAAACCTAATATAAAAAGACATAGGTTTAACTGTTTCTTCAGGTCTTTATTTCCTTACAAAGGCTCCTAGTTATATCAAGTTACTTCCAGAAAAGTCCATTTTTTCTGTGTCATATAAAACTTATGTTAAGTAAATGTGTATGCTTTTCTCTTGTTAATCTGTCTTTTGGTACAAGAGCCCCAGCCAAGAAATTAGAAAGGTGGAGGAAAAATATTTTTCCTCCCTTATATATGATTCCACTTATATGAGATACCTAGATCAGTAAAATTCATAGAAACAAAGTAGAATGATAGTCAGGCTCAGTGGCTCATTCCTATAATCCCAACATCTTGGAAGGATAAGGCGGGAGGATCACTTCAGCCCAAGAATTCAAGACCAGGCTAGACAACATAGTGAGACCTCATCTCTACTTTAAAAAGAAAAGTCAGGTGTGGTGGAACATACCTATAGTCCCAACTACTGGGGAGGCTGAAGTGGGTTGGATCACTTGAATCTGGGAGTTCAAGCTTTCAGTGAACTATGATCATGCCACTGTACTCCAACCTGGGCGACAGAGTAAGACCCTGTCAGAAAAAAGCAAAAAAAAAAAAAGGTAGTTTGGTGGTTGCCAGAGGCTGGGGTAGAGAGGAATGAGGGCTTATTGCTTACTGGGTGCAGAGTTTCACTTCGGGATGATAAGAATGTTCTGGAGATGGATGGTGGTGATGGTTGTACAACAACATGAATGCACTTAATGCCGATAACTGCACACTTAAGACTGGTTAAAATCGGGCTGGGCACGGTGGCTCACACCTGTAATCCCAGCACTTTGGGAGGCTGAAGCAGGCAGATCACAAGGTCAAGAGATAGAGACCATCCTGGCCAACATGGTGAAACCCCGTCTCTACTAAAAATACAAAAATTAACTAAGTGTGGCGGCAGGTGCCTGTAATCCCAGCTACTTAGGAGGCTGAGGCAGGAGAATCCTTGAACCTAGGAGGCAGAGTTTGCAGTAAGCCGAGACCGCGCCACTACTGCACTCCAGTCTGGTGACAGAGCAAGCCTCTATCTCAATATATATATATATATATATATATATATATATATATATATATATATATATATATACACACACACACATATACATATATATATACATTTATATGTATATATATGTATATTGTTATATATACTTTACCATGATAAAGACATTTTATAAGCACCATTTACCATTTGATCACCTATTAAATGCTAAGTGCTTTACATACATTTCACTAATCCTTAGAACAACTTTGTTCAGTAAAAATTATTCCTGGTTTACAGAGGAGAAACCTGAGGCTCAGAAAGGCTACTCACTTATTTGAAGTCTCACAGCCTTCATAATGGTATTCATGCACTTTTTATGCCCTAGATAGTTGGAGAAATTACAGGGGAGAATCTCAGAAATAACTAAAATAATTGAAGATGTAATCAAGAAACAAAAGTACAGTGTTTGAATAGAGACCAACTAAGGACGGCTGGGACTGGTTCAGTCTACCTATAATTGAAAGGTAAATCACTAGGAAAGGGAAGGAGTCTCTGGGTTTCAAGATGAAATAGAAGTCATGAGAATTCTATAAATTTAAATTCAAGTTCACTGAAGAGAGCTAGGAGTCAGCTACTGTTTGCTGCAGATAATATTCAGTAAGGAGCTAACAGCTAATGCACTGGCCTGGCGAAGTGTTTAATGTCAAATAGAAACCAACACTAGTAAAATACTTCCAGGAGGTAAGAATTTTTTTTTTGAGACAGGGTCTTGCTCTGTCCCACAGGCTGGAGTGCAGTGGCATGATCTTGGCTCCCTGCAACGTCCACTTCCCGAGTTCAAGCAATTCTCCTGCCTCAGCCTCCCTAGTAGCTGGGATTACAGGCACACACCACCACACCCCGCTGATTTTTGTATTTTTAGTAGAGTCGGGGTTTCACCATGTTGGCCAGGCTGGTCTTGAACTCTCGACCTCAGGTGATCCTCCCCCCTTGGCCTCTCAAAGTTCTGGGATTACAGGTGTGAGCCACTGCGCCTGGCTGCTGCTTCTTTTTTTGTAATGGACCTGGGAGATTTTTAGGAATGAGGGAAATGATCGTTTCTTTGAATAAGGCAGAATACTAAAGACTAGCCAGCCCTCAGGCTCATGGTGGTTGCTGCTATTCTGTTGAACGTCAACCATAGCCTTTAGAAAGGAGCAAGTCTTTGTGGAATAGACAGGATTTGAAGTGCAACAAAGGGGTGGAAACCCAGCTGACCATGATACTTTCAAGGGAGTTTTTCCACTGAATTTGATTATTTTCTCATTTGGCACTTCTTTCTGGGTTTTTTAATCAGCCCAAAAACTCTAGGTGATTTTACTTTTGTAATTGTATTCTCTTGGGAATTCCTGATTCCTCGTTTCACCAAATAGGTGTGTAACTTTCTTGTTTCTGCCTATAATAATTCTGGAGTCTTTAAACAAAACGACTGTGACTTTTCATGATGAGTAGAAGATAGGTTTTACTCATGCTACAATCAATATTAATTCCTTGCAGTTCAAAGACACTGAGGCCCTGTCTAATAATATAGAAGTTGAACTTGGACTTGGGAGATGACTCCTGCCTCTCATACTCTCTGTGGCTCTGCTTTCTATTATTTTACTCATAAGCTTGTTTTGTCTCCTTGCTGAGAATTGTCAAACATGAAATGTAATTTCAGGCTATAGTGAAGAAAGATGACATAGGCAGAAGAAATTGGCAATCATTTGGCCTGTACATGTGGCTTTTTGTTTTTTTTCTGGACTTAGGATATAGACCACACCTTGACATTTCTGGCCTTTGAGTCTTTCACAACTGTTATTATAATACATTAGCTCTTCTAGAAGTTAGAAGTGACTTTGGATTAAGTCTTTCATAAGGTGGCTAAATGAATTAATATAGCTCATCATAATTCACTAGATTGGTTAAGCGGGAAATTTACAGATTTTTTTCTTTGCTGTAAATATTTTTCTAAATTGAAAAACTTCTAATACTGTCTTCTGTAGTAGACCTAGAAATAAGTGCAAGTGATTGTTTTTGGCAGGAGGCCACATAAACTTTTCTGCTTCTCTGTGCCTTACGGGTAGCATTGATATAAATTGTTAAAAATAATGATTGTAGATAGATAATGTTTCAGAGTTTGGGCTCAGCCGCGGTAGCTGCTGTTGACCCAGAGGGACCACTGGGATCCTCACATCTCAGGGCAGCACATCGTTTGAAGGAATGGTTGGTTCTACACAACCTTTTATGAAATTAGGCGAGGCCCTTGCTTAGAATTTTTTAAAAGCTTAATATGAGTTTATATCTCTTTAAATATCAGTTTCTAATATTTTTTAAAGGCCTATGTTTACAACAAATTTGGGAGATACCTATATGCGGTACTAACTAGTGTTCTTTTGTGGTGCTTTAGAAATTCTGGCTTACTTGTATTTTTGCTGGCCTTCTAATGATTTCACTCATCAATCAGAAGATACTAGTGTCCACCTCCCTGCTTCCTCTCCGGTGATCTTGTCTATTCTTGGCCATTTTAGAGTTGACTTAGCAGCCTTCACAAAACTGATTGGAATTTCCACTGGGATTAAATTGATAGGTCATTTTTGGGAGACTTTTGCAATATTGAACTTTCCAATCCGTGAACTTTACTTATCTGCCCATTTATTATGTTTGTTTTTGGTAGATTACAAAATTATATGATCACTCCAAAAATTACCTTGCCCTTTATAGTAAAGCCTTCCATTGTAAATTCTGGCAATCACTGATCTGTGTTCCTCTAGCATTGCTTTTTTTCAGAATTTTATACAAATGGAATCGTTCAGTATGTAGCCTTTTGAGTCTGGCTACTTTCATGTACTTTATCAACAGTTATTCCTTATTATTGCCAAATAGTAATCCATTGTATAAATACTACATGGTTTGCTTATTGGTTTGTCATTGGAGGAATATGGACTATTTTCACTTTTTGGTAAACTATAAGTGGATTGGAATTCACAAAGTGCTTTTTGTCTGAGCATAGGTTTTCATTTCACTTGTGCAAATGCCTAAGGGTAGGATTGCCGAGTCACATGTACGTTTGACTTTATCAGAACCTGCCAAATTGTCTTCCAAAGTGCTGTGCCACTTCTGTTTCTTTAATAAATACAGGGGTATTCAAGCTGTCTGTTTCTTCTTGAGTTTTGGTAGTCTGTCTTTCAAGGAATTGATCTATTTCACCTAATTTGTAGAATTTAGAAGCACATACTTGTTTGTTTTGTTTTTGTAGTATCCATTATAGCCTTCTAGTGTCTACAGGATTTGTAATAATATTCCTTTCATTTCTGGTATTGGCAATTTGTGTTTTCTCTTCTTCCTTTGTCAGTCTGCTAGAGGCTTCCTCATTTGATTGATTTCCACCTCCCACCACCCCTGCAAAGAACCAACTTTGGATTTCGTTGAATTTTTTTCCTTTACTGTTTTTGTTTAAATATTACTGATTTAGTCTGTTTTCCTTATGCCTGATTTGAGTTTATTTGGTTCTTTTTTTACTTGAAGTAAATAAATTGCCCTGTAAGCACATATTTTGATAAGATGATGTCATATTTATTAAGTTCAAACTGTTTTCCAATTTGTCTTAAGTTACTCTCTTTGACCTATGGGCCATTTAGAAGTACGCCATTTAACTTCTCATATTAGGGGATGTTCTAGAAATGTTCTAGATTCCCAGTTTAATTCTGTCATCAGAGAAAATAATTCACTGAATTTTAATTGTTTAACTTTAGGGTTTGTTTTATGACCCAGAATATGATCTCTCACCACCGCCATCCAGATAATTCTTCAGGTTTTGACATTTCCCAACCTGTCTGCTGGTTACTTTTCAGAGTACTTGGGTCATTGCTATTTATATTTTGTCCAGAGTTTCAAATTGTGATCAGTGGAAACGACATGCCGTAGCATGCATACGCCATCCTGGCCAGCATCACAGATGGTCAGTATATCTTTCTGTTGTTGTTTTGAGACAGGGTCTCACTCTGTTGCCCAGGCTGGAGCACAGTGACATGATCAGGGATCACTGCATTCTCAATCTCCCTGGCTCAAGCGATCCTCCCACCTTAGCCTCCTGAGTAGCTGGGACAGGAGGCACACATGCCACACCCAGCTCAATCTACTGGGCTCAAGCAAAAGTTATCTCCTATTCTGACTTTTTACACTATAGATTAGTTTTCCTATTATTCGCTTTATAAATGGGATCTTTTCTTTTGGCTTCTTTTCTCAGCTTTAGGCTTGTGAGCTCTATCCATGGTGTTGCACATGGCTGTGGTTTGTTTATTGTTGTGTGCATTCAGCTTTACTAATATTGCACAATATGTTTATCTGTTCTGCTCTTGGCTGACATTAGGTTCTTCCAAGCTTGGGTCCATTATGAGTAATGCCATTATAAACTTTCTTTCTTTCTTTCTTTTTTTTTTTTTGGAGATAGAGTCTTGCTCTTGTCGCCCAGGCTGGAGTGCAATAGCACAATCTCAGCTCACTGCAACCTCCACCTCCTGGGTTCAAGCAATTCTCCCTGCCTGAGCCTCCCAAGAAGCTGGGATTACAGTGCCCACCACCACGTCTGGCTAATTTTTTTTTAGTAGAGACGGGGTATTGCCATATTGGCCGGGCTGGTCTCGAACTCCTGACCTCAGGTGATCTGCCTGCCTCGGCCTCCCAAAGTGCTGGAATTACAGGCATGAGCCACTGTGTCCGGCCCTGAAATTTCTTGTACTTTTGGTGCACACGTGTGTACTTTAATTTGATCTGTATCTGGGAGTGCAAGTGCTTTATAGAGTGTACGTACAGTTTTAGGAGATACTGCTAAAAATTTTGCAGTGGCTGTATCAGTTTACACTCTGCCAGCTGTTGATGAAGGTTCCAGTTGTTTCCCATCCTTCTGTTATAGGAAAGGAATCCTGATCTAGACTCCAAGAGAGGGTTATTGGATCTGGTGCAAGAAAGAATTCAGGGTGAGTCCATAGAGTAAAGTGATAGCAAGTTTATTAAGAAAGTAGAAGAATAAAAGAACGGCTACTCTATAGACAGAGCAGCCCGAGGGCTGCTGGTTACCCATTCTTATGGTTATTTCTAGATAATATCCTAAACAAGGGGTGGATTATTCGTGCCTCCTTTTTTTTTTCTTAAGACCATGTAGGGTAAATTTCTGATATTGCCATGACATTTGTAAACTGTGGTGGCGCTAGTGGGAGTGTAGCAGTGGGAGGATGACCAGAGGTCTACAGGTTTTTTTGGTAATCATCTTGAGAAATAAAGACTTCATAAATCATCTTACAGTTATGACAATATATAACAACCATATTTCAACTGAACGCAAAGTTGTACCTTTTCATACCCCCACTGTGTTATTAATATCACATATTATCTGTTATTGAGTATCTATGAACACACATTTATGCAGATTTGTGCTTCATTTTTTAAACTCCATAGCAATATTTTGAAAATTTTGTGCACCATCATTATGACAGTAGATAGAGATTTCTATACCTGTTTATATATTTACCTTTAATATAGCACTTTCTATTTTCATATGCTGTTATGATGCTGTGCAGCATCATTTCATTTTTGGACTTGATAGACTTTGTTTTACATTTCCTTTAGGATTGATCTAGTGGTTAGTAACACACTCCACTTTTATTTATTTTGGAAAGGCTTATTTTTTTTATTTCTGAAGTGAAATTATTCCAGTTGAAGGTTTTTGTTTGGCAGTATATCTTCTTGTTTAATTACCTTGTCATCTGGGGATTTCTCAGCTACTTTTTAAAAATAATCTCTTTATTACTTTTCTGCTGTATTGTTTTTCTAAGACTCCTTTTATAAATACGATGGTCTACTTGATGGTGTGCAGTACGTCCCATATTTTTTTCTCTATTCTGTTTAAATAATTTGTTTTCATGACTCAGTATTTATAACTACAGTGACATCAGTTGTATGATTTTTTCTGCTTTATTAGTCTGCTTTTGTGACCGTTGATTGAAATTTTAATATAGTTATCGTGTTATTCAGATACACAGTTTTTGTTGGTTTCTAAAAATCATTTTGTTGATATCTCGTTTTCTTTATGTATCACTTCTAATATTATTTTGTTGTCTATGCTCTGTTTTTGTTAATTAAGCAGTTTTTTCCTAATTACATTTTATTGAAAACTGCACTGAATGCTAAATGTCCATCTTTACAATAAACAACTACAGTAACGGTAACTCGCACTAAAACAAAGTATACTTCTGATAGCCATTATTTTTCTGTTTGTGACAATTTTAAAGTTTTTCTTTTGTCACAAAAACAGGAATGTACCTAATCAAAAGATCAAAATAGGCCATCTTTTTAAACAAAAAGGCAATGATTCACAAAAGACTATGAACAGAACATGTAACCAATCGATGCAAATCAAATAGGATTTGTTAAAATCAGTCACATCCAATACATCTGAAGTGTTCTTGTATAAAATACAATGTGAATAAAAGAAGACTTCATCAGTGTCTTAAAAAGTGCATTTGTTCATAGACAATCTGACAAGTTACCATTAAAAGTGTTTCCTGTGACATAAGGAAAAGCAACGTTATTTTTCTTGAATCTTTTTAGTGCAAGACTTTCCACTCAATAAAATAGCAGAGCATCTGAAACTGAGAAAATATTTTTGATTACAAACAGCTTGTGAAACTTAATACTGTTTTTTTTTTGCATTATCGGAGGCTTTTACTGAACTTACAACCAACTTGCCCACTCAGCATGCAGTTCAGATGTGAGAGACGCTTCTCTGTACAGGAGCCGGTACTGTCTTCAATCCTACGCGTGCAGGTGTCTACCACAGGCAAACAGTTTACTCCACATTTTCTAGTAATGTGATCTTCCTTTTAGCAAAAAGCTGTAACCAGTCCCTGTAGACTGAAGGGACTCAAGTGACAAAATGGGGATTTCCTCCTCATGGCTTTTATTTTGATGTTTGAAGTCTTGATGCAACATTCTGAGCAGGGTGTTACTGACCTGCTGTGCCCCAGGTACTGATAAAGGAAAAAGGACTATTTATTCTTTGTGAATTGACGCACATATCAAAAACTTAACACACAATAACGGAAGCTGGTCGTTAATAAATCACACCCTAGTCTTTCAGAGCTTCCGTAAACAGACGACATCTTCAGCTTTCTAACTCTTGTAGTTTTTACACTGCAACATCAATGATGCATATGTCCAGAATCAGCTAAAAAGAGCGTCAGATTCTTTTTCTCTTAGTACATCTATTTTTCACTGTCCTTGTTCCCAAGTGTATCAAAATGATTACCTTCCGGCATTCTCTACTATTTCTCGTTGGGGTGCTCTCGATTGTCCCCGTGATTGTGGGCTGGTTGGGAGAGGGCGCTTGGGAAGTATGTGCCACTGTCGGGAGGTTGTGAGTCAATGGGATGCCTGCAGGGATGATCCCTTCCATGGACGCAGGAAGTCCTCCTGGATCCACACCCACAATGACTGAATGAATTGCTTGCTGGTCTATTACTGACCAAAGCACAGATGTGACAAAGAATTCCTTGTTCACACAGTTTCTTTTTTTTTAATTTTATTATTATTATACTTTAAGTTTTAGGGTACATCTGTACAACGTGCAGGTTTGTTACATATGTATACATGTGCCATGTTGGTGTGCTGCTCCCTTTAACTCGTCATTTAGCATTAGGCATATCTCCTAATGCTATCCCTCCCCTCTACCCCCACCCCACAACAGTCCCCAGTGTGTGATGTTCCCCTTCCTGTGTCCATGTGTTCTCATAGTTCAATTCCCACCTATGAGTGAGAACATGTGGTGTTTGGTTTTTTGTCCTTGCGATAGTTTGCTGAGAATGATGGTTTCCATCTTCATCCATGTCCCTACAAAGGACACGAACTCATCCTTTTTTATCGCCATATAGTATTCCATGGTGTATTTGTGCCAGATTTTCTTAATCCAGTCTATCGTTGTTGGACGTATAGGTTGGTTCCAAGTCTTTGCTATTGTGAATAGTGCGCAATAAACATAGGTGTGTATGTGTCTTTATAGCAGTATGATTTATAATCCCTTGGGTACATATCTAGTAATGGGATGGCTGGGTCAAATGTTATTTCTAGTTCTAGATCCCTAAGGAATCGCCACACTGACTTCCACAATGGTTGAAGTAGTTTACAGTCCCAACAACAGTGTAAAAGTGTTCCTATTTCTCCACATCCTCCCCAGCACCTGTTGTTTCCTGACTTTTTAATGAACACCATTGTAAATGGTGTGAGATGGTATCTCATTGTGGTTTTGATTTGCAATTCTCTGATGGCCAGTGATGATGAGCATTTTTTCATGTGTGTTTTGGCTGCATAAATGTCTTCTTTTGAGAAGTGTCTGTTCATATCCTTGGCCCACTTTTTTAGGGGGTTGTTTGTTTGTTTTATTCTTGTAAATTTGTTTGAGTTCATTGTAGATTCTGGATATTTGCCCCTTGTCAGATGAGTAGGTTGCAAAAATTTTCTCCCATTCTGTAGGTTGCCTGTTCACTCTGATGGGAGTTTCTTTTGCTGTGCAGAAACTTTTTAGTTTAATTAGATCCCATTTGTCAATTTTGGCTTTTGTTGCCATTGCTTTTGGTGTCTTAGACATGAGGTCCTTGCCCAAGCCTATGTCCTGAATGGTATTGCCTAGGTTTTTTTCTTTTTTTTTTATGGTTTTAGGTCTAACATGTAAGTCTTTAATCCATCTTGAATTAATTTTTGTATGAGGTGTAAAGAAGGGATCCAGTTTCAGCTTTCTACATATGGCTAGCCAGTTTTCCCAGCACCATTTATTAAATAGGGAATCCTTTCCCCATTGCTTGCTTTTGTCAGGTTTGTCAAAGATCAGATAGTTGTAGATATGTGGCATTATTTCTGAGGGCTGTGTTTTGTTCCATTGGTCTATATCTCTGTCTTGGTACCAGCACCATACTGTTTTGCTTACTGTAGCCTTGCAGTATAGTTTGAAGTCAGGTAGCGTGATGCCTCCAGCTTTGTTCTTTTGGCTTAGGATTGACTTGGAGATTAAGGCTATTTATTGGTTGCATATGAACTTGAAAGTAGTTTTTTCCAATTCTGCGAAGAAAGTCATTGGTAGCTTGATGGGGATGGCATTGAATCTATAAATTACCTTGGGCAGTATGGCCATTTTCACGATATTGATTCTTCCTACCAATGAGCATGGAATGTTCTTCCATTTGTTTGTATCCTCTTTTATTTCATTGAGCAGTGGTTTGTAGTTCTCCTTGAAGAGGTCCTTCACATCCCTTGTAAGTTGGATTTCTAGGTATTTTACTCTCTTTGAAGCAATTGTGAATGAGAGTTCACTCATGATTTGGCTCTCTGTTTGTCTGTTATTGGTGTATAAGAATGCTTGTGATTTTTGCACATTGATTTTGTATCCTGTGACTTTGCTGAAGTTGCTTATCAGCTTGAGGAGATTTTGGGCTGAGACAATGGGGTTTTCTAGGTATACAATCATGTCATCTGCAAACAGGGACAATCTGACTTCCTCTTTTCCTAATCGAATACCCTTTATTTCCTTCTCCTGCCTAATTGCCCTGGCCAGAACTTCCAACACTATGTTGAATAGGAGTGGTGAGAGAGGGCATCCCTGTCTTGTGCCCATTTTCAAAGGGAATGCTTCCAGTTTTTTCCCATTCAGTATGATATTGGCTCTGGGTTTGTCATAGATAGCTGGTATTATTTTGAGATACATCCCATCCATACCTAATTTATTGACAGTTTTTAACATGAAGTGTTGTTGAATTTCGTCAGAGGCCTTTTCTGCATCTATTGAGATAATCATGTGGTTTTTGTCTTTGGTTCTGTTTATATGCTGGATTACATTTATTGATTTGTGTATGTTGAACCAGCCTTGCATCCCAGGGATGAAGCTCACTTGATCATGGTGAATAAGCTTTTTGATGTTCTGCTGGATTGGGTTTACCAGTAGTTTATTGAGGATTTTTGCATCAATGTTCATCAAGGATATTGGTCTAAAATTCTCTTTTTTGGTTGTGTCTCTGCCCGGCTTTGGTATCAGGATGATGCTGGCCTCATAAGATGAGTTAGGGAGGATTTCCTTTTTTCTGTTGTTTGGAATAGTTTCAGAAAGAATGGTACCACCCTCTCTATGTACCTCTGGTAGAATTCGGCTATGATTCCATCTGGTCCTGGACTCTTTTTGGTTGGTAAGCTATTGATTATTTCCACAATTTCAGCTCCTGTTATTGGTCTATTCAGAGATTCGTCTTCTTCCTGGTTTAGTCTTGGGAGGATGTATGTGTCGAGGAATTTATCCATTTCTTCTAGATTTTCTAGTTTATTTGCGTAGAGGTGTTTATAGTATTCTCTGATGGTAGATTGTATTTCTGTGGGATCAGTGGTGATATCCCTTTTGTCATTTTTTATTGCATCTATTTGATTCTTCTCTCTTTTCTTTTTTATTAGTCTTGGTAGCGGTCTATCAATTTTGTTGATTTTTAAAAAAAAAACAATCTCTGGATTCCTTAATTTTTTTAAGGGTTTTTTATGTCTCTATTTCCTTCAGTTCTGCTCTGATCTTAGTTATTCCTTGCCTTCTGCTAGCTTTTCAATGTGTTTGCTCTTGCTTTTCTAGCTCTTTTAATTGTGATGTTAGGGTGTCAATTTTAGATCTTTCCTGCTTTCTCTTGTGGGCATTTAGTGGTTTAAATTTCCCTCTACACACTGCTTTGAATGTGTCCCAGAGATACTGCTATGTTTTGTCTTTGTTCTCATTGGTTTCAAAGAACATCTTTATCTCGGCCTTGATTTCATTGTTTCCCCAGTATTCTTTCAGGAGCAGATTGGTAAGCAGAGCCTAGACAAGAGTTACATCACCTGGGTGATCAGTGTAGAGGTATGTGACAAGGCCCCTTTAAGCAGAGCCTAGACAATAGTTACATCACCTGAGTGATCAGTGCAGAGATATGTCAGTATTCCCCCTATAGGCAGAGCCTAGACAAAAGTTACATCACCTGGGTAATCAGTGCAGTGATAGGTCAAAATTCCTCTGTAGGCAGAGCCTAGACAAGAGTTACATCATCTAGGTGATCAGTGCAGTGATATGTCACAAAAATCCCTGTAGACAGAGCCTAGACAAGAGTTACATCACCTGAGTGATCAGTGCAGATGTTTGACACAATGACCCCATAGACAGAGGCTAGACAAGAATTCCATCACCTAGGTTATCAGTGCAGAGATATGTCATGAATCCACCTCTAGGCAGAGTATAGAAAATAGTTCCATCACCTGAGTGATCAGTGCAGAGATATGTCACAAAGACCCCTGTAGGCAGAGCGTAGAGAAGAGTCCCATCACCTGTGTGATCAGTGTAGTGACATGTCACAATGCCATTGTAGGTAGAGCGTAGAAAAGAGTTGCATTACCTGGGTGATCAGTGCAGAGAAATGTAACAATGCCCCCTCTGGGAAAAGCCTAGAAAAGAGTTACATCGCCTAGTAGATCAGTGCAGAGGTATGCCACAAAGCCCCCTGAAAGTACAGACTAGAGAAGAGTTACATCACCTGGGTGATCAGTGCAGTGATATGTCACAATTTCCCTGTAGACAGAGGCTAGAAAAGGGTTAAATCACCTGTGTGATCATTGCAGAGATATGTTACAATACCCTCTGTTGGCATAGCCTAGAAAAGAGTTACATCACCTCTGTGATCACTTCAGAGACATATCAAAACGAACCTGTAGGCAGACCCTACAAAAGAGTTACATCACCTAGGAGATCAGTGCAGAGATATGTCACAATACCCCATGTAGGCAGAGCCCAGACAAGAGTTACATCACCTGGGTGATCAGGGCAGAGATATGTCACAATGCCCCCTGCAGGCAGAGCCCAGACAAGAGTTGCATCACCTCGGTGATCAGTGCAGAGGTATGTCTCAATGCCTCCTGTAGGCAAAGCCCAGAGAAGAGTTACATCATCTCAGTGATCAGTGCAGAGATATGTCAAAATGCTCCTGTGAGCAGAGCCTAGACAAAATTTACATCACCTGGGTGATCAGTGCTGAGACATGTCACAATGTCCATGTATGCAGAGCCTAGACAAGTGTTACATCACCTGGGTGATCATTGCAGAGTGATTTCACAACGACCTCTGTAGGTAGAGACTAGACAAGAGTTACCTCACCTGAGAGATCAGTGCAGAGATATGTCACAACGCCCTCTGTAGGCAAAGATTAGTCAAGAGTTACATCACATAAGTGATCAGCACAGATATATGTCACTATGTCCCTGTGGCCACAGCCTAGACAAGAGTTACATCATCTGGGTGATCAATGCAGAGATATGTCACCATGTCTCCAGTAGGCAGAGCCTAGACATGAGTTACTTCACCTCGGTGATCAGTGCAGAGATATCTCAAAATACCCCCTGTAGGCAAAGTCTAGACAAGAGTTACATCAACTGGGTGATCAGTGCAGAGATACGTCAAAAATCCTACTGTAGGCAAAGCCTAGACAAGTTTTAAATAACCTCAGTGATCAGTGCAGAGATGTCTCCCAATGCCCCTGTAGGCAGAGCTTAGAAAAGTGTCACATCTCCGGATTGATCAGTGCAGAGATACGTCACAATGCCCCCATAGGCAGAGCCTGGACAACAGTTACATCACCTAGTTGATCATTGCAGAGATATGTCACAAAGTCCCCTGTAGGCAGAGCCTAGAGAATAGTTGCATCACCTGGGTGATCAGTGCAGAGATATGTCAGGATGTCCCCTGTAGTCAAAGCCTAGGCAAGACTTACATCACATTTGTCATCAGTTCAGAGATATGTCAAAACGCCCCTGTAGGCAGAGCCTAGACAAGAGTTACATCACCTAGTTGATCAGTGCAGAGATGTTTCACAATACCCCCTTTAGGCAGATCCTAGAGAAGAGTTGCATCACCTGGGTGATCAGTGCAGAGCTATATCAAAATGCCCCCTGTAGGCAGAGGGTAGACAAGAGGTACATCATCTAGGTGATCAGTGCAGAGATTTGTGAAAATTCCCTGTAGGCAGAGCTTATAAAACTATTACATTGCCTAGGTGATCAGTGCAGAGATGTGTCACAAAGCCCCCTGTAGGCAGAGCCTAGACAAGAATTCCCACGCCGGGAGTGATCAGGTCAGAGATAAGTCACAAGGCCCCTGTAGGCAGAGCTTAGATGACTTACATCACCTGGGTGATCAGTGCACAGATATTTCACAAAGCCCACTGCAGGAAAAGCCAAGACAATAGTTAAATCACTTGGGTGATCAGTGGAGAGATCTCTCACAACTCACAAGTAGGCAGAGCTTATACAACAGTTACATCTCCTCGGTGATCAGTGCAGAGCTATGTCATAATGCCCCCATAGGCAGATGCAATACAATAGTCTGTCACCTGGGTGAACAGAGCAGAAATACGTCACAATGCCCCTGTAGGCAGAGCCTAGACAAAAGCCCCATCACCTGGATGATGAGGGCAGAGTTATGTCACAAAGACCCTTTAGGCAGATCCTAGACAACAGTTACATCAGTTGGGTGATCAGTGCAGAGATATGTCACAATGCCACTGTAGGCAGAGCCTAGGCAAGAGTTACATGACCCAGGTGATCAGTGCAGAGATACATCACAATCCCCCTGTAGGCAGAGCCTTGACAAGTGGTACATCACCTGGGTGATAATTGCAGGCATATGTCACAAAGCACCCTGTAGGCAGATCCTAGACAACAGTTACATAACCTGGGTGATCAGTGCAGGGATATGACACAATGCCAGTGTAGGCAGAGTCTAGAAAAGAGTTACATGACCTAGGTGATCAGTGCAGAGATACATCACAATGCCTCTGTAGGCAGAGCCTTGACAGGCGGTACATCACCTGGGTGATCATTGCAGGGATATGTCACAAAGCACCCTGTAGGCAGATCCTAGACAAGAGTTACATCACCTGGGTGAGCAGTGCAGAGATATGTCACAAGCCCCCTGCAGGCAGAGCCTAGACAAGAGTTATATCACCTGGGTGATAAGTGCAGTGATATGTCACAATGCTGTGTAGCCAGAGCCTAGACAAAAGTTTCATCACCTGGGAGATCAGTACAGAGATATGTCACAATGTCCCCAGTAGGCAGAGCCTAGAAAAGATTTGGATCACCTCGGGATCAGTGCAGAGATAAGTCTCAATCCCTCTGTGGGAAAAGCGGAGACAAGAGTTAAATCACCTTGCTTATCAGGGAAGAGGTATGTCAAAATGTCACTGTAGGCAGAACCTACTCAAGTGTTACATCACTTAGGTGATCAGTGCAGAGATATGCCAAAATACCCCCTGTAAGCAGAGCCTAGACAATAGTTACATGACCTAGGTGATCAGTGCAGAGATACATCACAATGCCCGTGTAGGCAGAGCATTGACAAGTGGTATATCACCTGGGTGACCATTGCAGGGCTATGCCACAAAGCACCCTGTAGGCAGATCCTAGACAAGGGTTACATCACCTGGTTGATCAGTAAAGAGAAATTTCACAATGCCGCTGCAGGCAGAGCGTAAGCAAGAGTCCAATCACCAGGGTGATCAGTGCAGAAATATGTCACAATGCCCCCATAGGCAGACCCAACACAAGAGTTACATCACCTGGGTGATCAGTGTAGAGATATGTCACAATGCCCCCATAGGCAGAGCCTAGACAAAAGTCCCATCACCTGGGTGATCAGTGCAGAGATATGTCACGAAGTCCCTGTAGGCAGAGCCTAGACAAAAGTTACATCACCGGGATGATCAATACAGAGTGATGTCACAAAGCACCTTGTAGGCAGAGCCTAGAGAAGAGTTACATCACCTGTGTGATCAGTGTAGTGATATGTCACAATACCCCCTTGAGGCAGAGCCTAGACAAGAGTTACATCACCTGGGTGATCAGTGCAGAGATATGTCACAATCCCCCTGTAGGCAGAGCCCAGACTAGAGTTGCATCATCTCGGTGATCAGTGCAGAGATATATCTCAATGCCTCCTGTCAGCAAAGCCCAGACAAGAGTTACATCATCTCCATGACCAGTGCAGAGATATGTCAAAATGCACCTGTGGGCAGAGCCCAGACAAAATTTACATCACCTGGGTGATCAGTGCAGAGACATGTCACAATGTCCATGTAGGCAGAGCCTAGACAAGGGTTACATCACCTGGGTGATCATTGCAGAGTGATGTCACAAAGCCCTCTGTAGGCAGAGACTACACAAGAGTTACCTCACCTGAGAGATCAGTGCAGAGATATGTCACTATGTCCCTGTGGCCAGAGCCTAGACAAGAGTTACATCAGCTGGGTGATCAGTGCAGAGATAAGTCACAATGTCTATCACAATGTCTCCATTAGGCAGAGCCTAGACAAGAGTAACATCACCTGGGTGATCACGTCAGAGATATGTCACAATGCCCTCTGTGGGCAGATCCCAGACAAGAGTTGCATCACCTCGGTGATCAGTGCAGTGATGTGTTAAAATGCCCCTGTAGGCAGAGCCTAGACAAGAGTTACATCACCTGGGTGATCAGTGCAGAGATATGTCACAATGTCCCCTGTAGGCAGAGCCTAGGCAAGAGTTACATCATCTTTGCCATCAGTTCAGAGATATATTAAAATGCCCCTTTAGGCAGATCCTAGACAAGACTTGCATCACCTGGGTGATCAGTGCAGAGATTTTTCACATTGTCCCCTGTAGGCAGAGGGTAGAAAAAAGTTACATCACCTAGGTGATCAGTGCTGAGATATTTCAGAATACCCACTGTAGACAGATCTTAGAGAAGACTTGCATCACCTGGGTGATCAGTGCAGAGATTTTTCACATTGCCTCCTGTAGGCAGAGGGTAGAGAAGTGTTAAATCACCTAGGTGATCAGTGCAGAGGTTTGTCAAAATTCCCTGTAGACAGAGCTTATAAAAGTGTTACATCACCTAGGTGATCAGTGCAGAGATATATGTCACAAAGCTCCCTGTAGGCAGAGCCTAGCCAAGAATTCTCACCAGGAGTGATAAGTGCAGAGATATGTCCCAAAGCCCCTGTAGGCAGAGCTTAAATGAGTTACATCACCTGGGTGATCAGTGCAAAGTTATGTCACAAAGCCCCCTGTAGGCAAAGCCTAGACAATAGTTACATTACTTGGGGGATCAGTAAAGACATCTCTCACAATTCCCCTGTAGGAAGAGCTTATACAACAGTTACATCACCTGGGTGATCAGTGCAGAGATATGTCACAATGCCCCCATAAGCAGATGCAAGACAAGAGTCCGTCACCTGGGTGTTCAGTACAGAAATACGTCAGAATGCCCTCGTGGGCAGAGCCTAGACAAAAGCCCCATCACCTGGATGATCAGTGCAGGTTTATGTCACAAAGTCTATTTACGCAGATCCTAGACAAGAGTTATATCACCTGGGTGATCAGTGCAGAGATATGTCACAATGCCACTGTAGGCAGAGCCTAGACAAGAGTTATATCACATGGGTGATCAGTGCAGTGATATGTCACAATGCCGTGTGGCCAGAGCCTAGGCAAAGGTTACATTATCGGGGAGATCAGTGCAGAGATATGTCACAATGCACACTGTAGGCAGAGCCTAGAGAAGAGTTGCATCGCCTGAGTGATCAGTGCAGAGATATGTTGCAATGCACACTGTAAGCAATGCCTAGACAAGAGTTACATCACCTCGGTGATCACTTCAGAGATATGTCAAAAAGCCCCTGTAGACGGAACCTAGAAATGAGTTACATCACCTGGGTGATCAGGGCAGAGATATGTCACAATGCCCCCTGGAAGGAGAGCCCAGACAAGAGTTGCATCACCTCGGTGATCAGTGCAGAGATATGTCACTATGCCCCCATAGGCAGATCCAAGACAGGAGTCCATCACCTGGGTGATCAGTGCAGAAGTATGCCACAATGCTGCCAGTAGGCAGATATAGACAATAGTTACATCACCTGCGTGATCACTGCAGAGATATGTCACAATGCCCCTACAGGCAGAGCGTAGACAAGAGTCCCATCACCTGGATGATCAGTGCAGATGTATGTCACAATGCCCCCTTTTGGCAGAGCCTAGAGAAGGGTTACATCACCTGGGTGATAAGTGCAGAGATGTGTCACAAGCCCCCTGTAGCCAGAGCCTAGACAAGGGTTACATCAGCTGTGTGATCAGTGCAGTGACATGTCACAATATCCCTCTAGCCGTATCTTTACAAAAGTGACATCACCTGGGTGATCAGTGCGGAGATATGTCACAATGTCTCGAATAGGCAGAGCCTAGACAAGAGTTACATCACCTGGGTGATCAGGGCAGAGATATGTCACAATGTCCACTGTAAGCAGATCCCAGACAAGAGTTGCATCACCTCGGTGATCAGTGCAGAGATATATCTCAATGCCCCCTGTTGGCAAAGCCTATACAAGAGTTACATCATCTCGGTGATCAGTGCAGTGATTTGTTAAATTGCCCCCATAGGCAGAGACTAGACAAGAGTTTCATCTCCTGGGTTTTCAGTGCAGAGATATCTCACAATACGCCCGGTAAGTAGAGCCTAGACAAGAGTTACATCACCTGGGTGATCAGTGCAGAGATATTTCATAAATCCCACTGTAGGCAAAGCCTAGACAAGTTTTACATCACCTCAGTGATCAGTGCAGAGATATGTCCCAATGTCCCTCTAGGCAGAGCTTAGACAAGTGTCACCTCTCCTGGGTAATCAGTGCAGAGATGTCACAATGCCCCCATAGGCAGAGCCTAGACAAGAGTTACATAACCCGGGTGATCCGTGCAGAGTGATGTCACAACGCCCTCTGTAGGCAGAGACTAGAAAAGATTTACATCACCTGGGTGATCAGTGCAGAGATATGTCACAGTGTCCCCTGTAGGCAGAGCACAGAGAAGAGTTGCATCACCTGGGAGATCAATGCAGAGATATGTCACAATGTCCCCTGTAAGCAAAGCCTAGGTACGAGTTACGTCACCTTTTTCATCAGTTTAGGGATATGTGAAAACGCCCCTGTAGGCAGATCCTAGGGAAGAGTTGAATCTCTGGGAGCCCAGAGAGAGGCTTCCAGTTCCCACGGGATTCCTGGAGAGGTCCGGAGAGCCAGCCCCCGATACGTGCCCCCCTCACACCTTCCCTCTCGCCCCCTTCCTCTTCGTTTCTCCGGCCCCACCGTCACCACGCCCTCCACCCCAGGGCCTCGATGCCCTGGGAACATTCCGGGGTGGGGCGGGCTGTCCCAGGGCTCACCGCCATTCATGAAGTGGTGGAGCCTGCCTGCCTGCAGGCCTTTATAAGAGCCGCTGGCTGGCTGTCCGGGCAGGCCTCCTGGCTGCACGTGTCGCAGTGCACAGGCCGGCTGAGGTGCACGGGAACCCGCCGGCCTCTCTCTGCCCGTGTCCGTCCATGAAATTCTGGCCGGTGATCCCCGCGATGTCCCTCCCGACACCTTCAGACAGCACCCTCCCCGCGGAAGCCCGGGGACGGGGACAGCGAAGGAGACTCGTTTGGACCCTGAGCCAAAGCGAGGCCCTGCGAGCCTGATTTGAGTGGAACCCGTACCCGGGCATTACGACCAGAGAACAGCTGGCACAGGCCATCGGCATTCCGGAGCCCAGGGTCCAGTTTTGGTTTCAGAATGAGAGGTCATGCCAACTGAGGCAGCACCGGCGGGAATCTCGGCCCTGGCCCGGGAGACACGGCCCGCAAGAAGGCAGGCAAAAGCGAACCGCCGGCACCTGATCCCAGACGACCGGCTCCTCCGAGCCTTTGAGAAGGATCGCTTTCCAGGTATCACCGCCAGGGAAGAGCTGGCAAGAGAGACGGGCCTCCCGGAGTACAGGATTCAGATCTGGTTTCAGAATCGAAGGGCCAGGCACCCGGGACAGGCTGGCAGGGCGTCCGCGCAAGCAGGCAGCCTGTGCAACTCGGCCCCCATCAGGTGTCACCCTGATCCCTCGTGTGTCGCCTTCGCCCACACCGGTGTGTGGGGAACGGGGCTTCTTGCACACCACGTGTAATGCGCGCCTGGGGCTCTACCACAGGAGGCTTTCTTGAGCCAAGGAGTGAGGGCCGTCCCCGTGCTCCAGCCCAGCCAAGCCGCGCCGGCAGAGGGGTTCTTCCAACCTGCCCTGGCATGTGGGGATTTTGCCTACGCCACCCCAGTTCCTCCAGAAGGGGCGCTCTCCCACCCTCAGGCTCCTCAGTGGCCTCCGCACCTGGGCAAAAGCCGGGAGAACCGGGACCCGCAGAGCGACGGCCTGCCGGGCCCTTGCGCAGTGGGACAGCCTGGGCCAGCTCAACAGGGCCACAGGGCCAAGGTGAGCTTGCGCAACCCGCGTCCCAGGTGAGTCCGTGGTGGGGCTGGGGCCAGGGTCCCAAGGTCGCCGGGGCGGCATGGGAACCCCAAGCTGGGGCAGCTCCACCTCACCAGCCCATGCCCCCGGAGGCCTCCCCGCAGCAGGGGCAGATGCAAGGCATCCCGGCGCTCTCCCAGGCGCTCTGGGAGCCGGGGTGCTCTTCTGCACTCCCCTCCGGCCAGCTGCTGGATGAGCTCCTGGCGAGCCCGGAGTTTCTGCAGCAGGCACAACCATTCCTAGAAACGGAGGACCCAGGGTAGCCGGAGGCCTTGGAAGAGGCCACCTCACTGGAAGGGCCCCTAAGCGAGGAAGAATACCGGGCTCTGCTGGAGGAGCTTTAGGACACGGGGTTGGAACGGGGTCGGGTCGGGGCGGGGCGGTGGCCTCTCTTTTGCAGGGAACACCTGGCTGGCTATGGAGGGGCGTGTCTTCACCCCGCCCATTCCACCAGGCAGACCGGCCTGGGATTCCTGCCTTCTAGGTCTAGGCCCGGTGAGAGACTCCACAAAGCGGAGAACTGCCATTCTTTCCTGGGCATCCCGGGGATACCAGAGCTGGCCCAGGTACCAGCAGGTGGGCCGCCTACTGCGCACATGCGGTTTTGCGGGCAGCCGCCTGGGCTGTGGGAGCAGCCCGGGCAGAGCTCTCATGCCTTTCCACCACCACAACCACGCCTGACCACCCCCTCCCCACCCCCACCGCCTTCCCCTGGAAAATGCGTCCTCCCCTGGGCTGAGTGGATACACCCATCCCGCGAAACACCGGGCCTGAGCTGCGTCCAGGCCTGACACCCCTCTGGCGGCTCGCCCCTTCTGCGCCTCCCCGCCACCGTCGCCAGCACGCCCGTGACCCTGCAGCCTGCCAGCTACCACCATGGAGTGCCTGGTTGTGGAACGCAGACCTCTAGCTCTCTTTTCCAGCCTCCTGGCTAGACCTGCGCTCATTGCGCACCGTGGCTGACATGCAAGGGAACTCGCTGGCCTCTCTGTGCCCTTGTCCATCCATGAAATTCCGACTGAGGCTCTCCCAGCACATTCCGACGCTCTTTAGTCAAAGCCTGGAGAATAGTTACATCTCCTGGATGATCAGTTCAGAAATATGTCACAATGCCCCCTCCCTGTGGAGCCTAGAGAAGATTTGCATCATTTGGGTGATCAGTGCAGAGATATATCACAATGTCCCCTGTACAAAAAGCCTGGAAAAGATTTACATCACCTCGGTGATCAGTGCATAGGTATGTCAGAAATCCCCAGTAGGCTGAACCTAGACAAGGGTTAAATCACTTAGGTGATCAGTGTAGAGATATGTGAAAATTCCCGTGTAGACAGAGCCAAGACAAGTGTTACATCACCTAGTGATCAGTGCAGGGATAAGTCGTAAAGCCTCCTGTAGGTAGAGTGTAGACAATTGTTTCCTCCCTGGGGTGATCAGTGTAGAGATATGTCACAAAGCCCCTGTAAGCAGAACCTTAAGGGTTACATCACCTGTTTGATCAGTGGCAATGTACATCACAATGCTCCCTGTAGGCCAAGCCCAGACAAGTGTTACATCACCTGGGTGAGCAGTGGAGAGATCTGTCACAATGCCCCTGTAGATAGAGCTTAAACAAGGGTTACATCACCTGGGTGATCAGTGCAGAGATATGTCAAAACGCTCCTGTAGGCTGAAACTATACAGCAGTTCCATCACCCGGGTGATCAGTGCAGAGATATGTGAGAATTCCCATGTAGTCAGAGCCTAGACAACTGTTACATCACCTAGGTTATCAGTGTAGGTATAAGCCATAAAGCCTCCTGTAGGCAGACAGTAGACAAGAGTTCCCTCCACAGGGTGATCAGTGCAGGGGTGTGTCACAAAGCCCCTGTAGGCAGAGCCTAGACAAGAGTTTCATCACATGGATAATCAGTACAAAGATGTGTCACAATGTCCATGTAGGCAGATCGAAGATAAGAGTCCATCATCTGGGTGATCCGAGCAGAGATATGTACCAATGTCCCCTGTAGGCAATGCCTAGACAAGAGTTGCCTCACCTCAGAGATCAGTGCATAGATATGTCACAAAGCCTTCTGTAGGCAAAGCCCATACAAGGCTTACGTCACCTAGGTTATAAGTGCAGTGATATGTCACAAAAATCCCTGTAGACAGAGCCTAGACAAGACTTCCATCACCTGGGTGATCAGTGCAGAGATATATCACAAATCCCCTCCAGGCAGAGTATAGAGAAGGGTCCCATCACCTGGGTGATCAGTGCAGAGATATTTCACACTGCCCCCTGTAGGCAGAGAGTGGACAAGAGTTACATAACCTAGGTGATCTGTGCAGAGCTATGTCAAAACGCCCCTGTAGGCAGAGCCTAGATAAATGTTACATCACCTGGGTGATCAGTGCAGAGATACGTCACAATACCCCCTGTAGGTGGAGCCTAGACAAGAGTTACATCACCTGGGTGAACAGTGCAGAGACACGTCACAATAACCCCGGTAGGAGGAGACTAGACAAGAGTAACATCACCTGGGTGATCAGTACAGAAATATGTCACAAAGCCCTGTAGGCAGGGCCTGAACAAGAGTTACATTTCCTGGGTGATCAGTGCAGAAATATGTCACAAGCCCATGTAGGCCGAGCCTAGACAAGAGTTACATCTCCTGGGTGATCAGTGCAAAGATATGTCACAAAGCCCCCTGTAGACAAATCCCAGAAAATTGTTACTTCACCTGGGTGATCAGTGAAGATATCTGTCACAATTCCCCTTTAGGCACAGCTTAGTCAAGCGTTACATGAGTGATCAGTGCAGATATATGTCACTATGCCCCCATAGGCAGATCCAAGACAAGAGTCCATCACCTTGGTGATCAGTGCAGAAATATGCCAAAATGCCGCCAGTAGGCAAATATAGACAAGTGTTACATCACCTGCGTGATCAGTGCATACATATGTCACTATGCCCCCATAGGCAGATCCAAGACAAGAGTCCATCACCTGGGTGATCAGTGCAGAAATATGCCACAATGCTGCCAGTAGGCAGATATAGACAAGTGTTACATCACCTGCGTTATCAGTGCAGAGATATGTCACAATGCCCCTGTAGGCAGAGCCTAGACAACAGTCCCATCACCTGGGTGATCAGTGCAGAGGTATGTCACAATGCCCCCTTTTGGCAGAGCCTAGACAAGGGTTACATCACCTGGGTGATCAGTGCAGAGAAGTGTCACAAGCCCCCTGTAGCCAGAGCCTAGACAAGAGTTACATCAGCTGTGTGATCAGTGCAGTGACATGTCACAATGTCCCTGTAGCCATATCTTTGACAAAAATGACATCACCTGGGTGACCAGTGCGGAGATATGTCACAATGTCTCCAGTAGGCAGGCCAAGACAAGAGTTACATCACCTGGGTGATCAGGGCAGAGATATGTCACAATGCCCCCTGTAGGCAGATCCCAAACAAGAGTTGCATCACCTCGGTGATCATTGCAGAGATATGTCTCAATGCCCCCTGTTGGCGAAGCCTATACAAGAGTTACATCTTATCGGTGATCAGTGCAGTGATATGTTAAAATGCCGCTGTAGGCAGAGCCTAGACAAGAGTTGCATCACCTGGGTGATCAGTGCAGAGATATCTCACAATAACCCCTGTAAGCAGAGCCCAGACAAGAGTTACATCACCTGGGTGATCAGTGCAGTGATATGTCATGAATCTCAGTGTAGGCAAAGCCTAGACAATTTTACCTCACCTCAGCGATCAGTGCAGAGATATGTCCCAATGTCCCTCTAGGCAGAGCTTAGACAAGAGTCACATCTCCTGGGTGATCTGTGCAGAGATAAGTCACAATGCCCCCATAGGAAGAGCCTACACAAGAGTTACATAATCCAGGTGATCCGCGGAGAATGATGTCACAACGCCCTCTGTAGGCAGAGACTACAAAACACATCACCTGGGTGATCAGTGCAGAGATATGTCACAATGTCCCCTGTAGACAGAACATAAAGAAGAGTTGCATCACATGGGTGATCAGTGCAGAGATATGTCACAATGTCCCCTGTAAGCAGAGCATAGAGAAGAGTTGCATCACCTGGGTGATCAGTGCAGATGTATGTCACAATGTCCCCTGTAGGCAAACGCTAGGCCAGAGTTGCATCACCTGGGTGATCAGTGCCGATATATGTCACAATGTCCCCTGTAGGCAAAGCCTAAGCAAGAGTTACATCACCTTTGTCATCAGTTCAGGGATATGTGAAAACGCCCCTGTAGGCAGAGCCTAGACAAGAGTTACAACACCTAGTTGATCAGTGCTGAGGTATTTCAAAATACACCCTGTGGGCAGATCCTAGACAAGAGTTCAATCACCTGGGTGATCAGTGCAGAGATATTTCACAATGCCCCCTTGGGCAGAGGGTAGACAAGAGTTACATCACCTAGGTGATCAGTGCAGAGATTTGTCAAAATTCCCTGTAGGCAGTGCTTATAAAAGTGATACATCACCTAAGTGATCAATGCAGATATATGTCAAAAAGCTCCTGTAGGCAGAACTTAGATGTGTTACATCACCTGGGTGATCAGTGCAAAGCTATGTCACAAAGACCCCTGTAGGCAAAGCCTGGACAATGGATACATCACTTGGGTGATCAGTGGCGAGATCTCTCACGATTCCCCTGTAAGCAGAGCTTATACAATAGTTACATCACCTGGGTTATCAGTGTAGAGATATGTCAAAATGCCCCCATAGGCAGAGCCTAGACAAGAGTTACATAACCGGGGTGTCCCATGCAGAGTGATGTCACAACGCCCTCTGTAGCAGAGACTAGAAAAGAGTTACATCACATGGGTAATCAGTGCAGAGTTATGTCACAATGCCCCCTGAAGGCAGAGCATATAGAAGAGTTGCATCACCTGGGTGATCAGTGCAGTGATATATCACAATGTCCCCTGTAGGCAGAGCATAGAGAAGAGTTGCATCACCTGGGTGATCAGTGCAGAGATATGTCACAATGTCCCCTCTAGGCAAAGCCTAGGCAAGAGTTACATCACCTTTGTCATCAGTTCAGGGATATGTGAAACCGCCCCTGTAGGCAGACCATAGACAAGAGTTACATCACCTAGATGATCAGTGCAGAGATATTTCACAATAACCCCTGTAGGCAAATCCTAGACAAGAGTTGAATCACCTGGGTGATTAGTGCAGAGATATTTCACAATGCCCCCTTTGGGCAGAGGGTAGACAAGAGTTACATCACCTATGTGATCAGTGCAGAGATTTGTCAAAATTCCCTGTAGGCAGTGCTTATAAAAGTGTTACATAAGTGATCAGTGCAGAGATACGTCATAAAGCTCCTGTAGGTAGAACTTAGATGAGTTACATCACCTGGGTGATCAGAGCAAAGGTATGTCACAAAACCCTCTGTAGGCAAAGACTATACAATAGTTACATCACTTGGGTGATCAGTGGCGAGATCTCTCACAATTCCCCTGTAGGCAGAGCTTATACAAAAGTTTCATCACCTGGGTGATCAGTGCAGAGATATGTCACAGTACCCCCATAGGCAGATCCAAGACAAGAGTCCGTCACCTGGGTGATCAGTGCAGAAATATGTCACAATGCCCCCTTAGGCAGAGCCTAGACAAAAACCCCATCACCTGGATGATCAGTGCAGACTTATGTCACAAAGTCCCTTTAGGCAGATCCTAGACAAGGGTTACATCACTTGGATGATCAGTGCAGAGATATGTCACAATGCCACTGTAGGCAGAGCCTAGACAAGAGTTACATGACCTTGGTGATCAGTACAGAGATACATTGCAATGTCCCTGTAGGCAGAGCCTTGAGAAGTGGTACATCACCTGGGTGATCATTGCAGGGATATGTCACAAAGCACCCTGTAGGCAGATCCTAGAAAAGAGTTACATCACCTGGGTGATCAGTGCAGAGGTATGTCACAATGCCACTGTAGGCAGAGCCTAGAGAAGAGTTACATGACCTAGGTGATCAGTGCAGATATACATCTCAATGCCCCTGTAGGCTGAGCCTTGACAAGTAGTATATCACCTGGGTGATCATTGCAGGGATATGTCACAAAGCACCCTGTAGGCAGATCCTATAGAAGAGTTATATCACCTGGGTGATCTGTGCAGAGATATGTCACAAGCCCCCTGTAGGCAGAGCCTAGACGAGAGTTATATTACCTGGGTGATCAGTGCAGTGATATGTCACGATGCTGTGTAGCGAGAGCCTAGACTAAAGTTACAGCACCTGGGAGATCAGTGCCTAGATACGTCACAATGTCCCCAGTAGGCAGAGACCAGGCAAGAGTTGGATGACCTCGGGATTAGTGCAGAGATATGTCTCAATCCCCCTGTGGGCACAGCCTAGACAAGTGTAGCATCACCTCGGTTAACAGTGCAGAGATATGTCAAAATGCGCCTGTAGGCAGAGCCTATACAAGTGTTACATCACTTAGGTGATCAGTGCAGAATTATGTCACAATACCCCCTTTAAGCAGAACTTAGACAAGAGTTGCATTACCTGGGTGATCCGTGCAGACATATGTGACAAGGCCCCTTTAAGCAGAGCCTAGACAATAGTTACATCACCTGAGTGATCAGTGCAGATATCTGTCACAATTCCCCTTTAGGCAGAGCTAAGAGCAGAGTTACATCACCTGGGTGATCAGTGCAGAGATATGTCACAATGCCCCCATAGGCAAATCCAAGGGAAGAGTCCGTCACCTGGGTGATCAGTGCAGAAATATGTGACAATGCTCCCAGTAGGCAGAGCCTAGAGAACAGTCCCGTCAGCTGGGTGGTCAGTGCAGAGATATTTCACAATGCCCCTGCAGGCAGAGCGTAAGCAAGAGTTACATCACCTAGGTGATCATTGCAGAGATATGTCACAAGGCCCCCTATAGGCAGAGCCTGGACAAGAGTTACATCACCTCGGTGATCAATGCAGTGATATGTCACTATGCCCCGTAGGCAGAGCCTAGTCAAGCGTTACATCACCTGGGTGATCAGTGCAGAGATATGTCACAAAACCCCCAAACACAGAGCCTAGACAAGAGTCCCATCACCTGGGTGATCAGTGAAGCAATATGTCACAACGGCACCATAGGCAGATACAACGCAAGAGTTACATCACCTGGGTGATCAGTACAGAGATATGTCACAATGCCCGCATAGGCAGAGCCTAGACAAAAGTCCCATCAGCTGGGTGATCCGTGCAGAGTGATGTCACAACGCCCTCTGTAGGCAGAGACTAGAAAAGTGTTGCATCACCTCGGTGACCAGTGCAGTGATATGTCTCAATGACCCCGTCGGCGAAGCCTATACAACACTTACATCATCTCGCTGATCAGTGCAGTGATATGTTAAAATGCCCCTGTAGGCAGAGGCTATAAAAGAGTTACATCGCCTGGGTGATCAGTGAGGAGATATCTCACAATACCCCGTGTAAGCAGAGCCTAGACAAGAGTTACATCACCTGGGTGATCAGGGCAGAGATATGTCATAAATACCACTGTAGGCAAAGCCTAGACAAGTTTTACATCACCTCAGCGATCAGTACAGAGATATGTCCCAAAGCCCCTCTAGGCAGATCCTAGACAACAGTTACATAACCCGGGTGATCCGTGCAGAGTGATGTCACAACGCAATCCGTAGGCAGAGACTAGAAAAGGATTACATCACCTGTGTGATCAGAGCAGAGATATGACACAATGCCCCTCTAGGCAGAGCCTAGACAAGACTTACATAACCCGGGTGATACGTGCAGAGAGATGTCACAACGCCCTCCGTAGGCAGAGACTAGAAAAGGGTTACATCACCTGGGTGATCAGTGCAGAGATATGTCACAATGTCCCTGTAGGCAGAGCATAGAGAAGAGTTGCATCACCTGGGTGATCAGTGCAGTGATATTTCACAATGCCCCCTTTTGGCAGAGGGTAAAAAAGAGTTACAACAGCTAGGTAATCAGTGCAGAGACTTGTCAAAATTCCCTGTAGGCAGTGTTTATAAAACTGTTACATCACCTAAGTGATCAGTGCAGAGATATGTCACAAAGCTCCTGTAGGCAGAACATAGATGAGTTCCATCACCTGGGTGATCAGTGCAAAGGTATGTCACCAAGCCCACTGTAGGCAAAACCTAGACAATAGTTTCATCACTTGGGTGATCAGTGGCGAGATCTCTCACAGTTCCCCTGTAGGCAGAGCTTATACAACAGTTGCATCACATGGGTGATCAGTGCAGAGATATGTCACAGTGCCCCTATAGGAAGATCCAAGACAAGAGTCCGTCACCTGGGTGGTCAGTGCAGAAATATGTCACAATTCCCCCTTAGCAGAGCCTAGACAAAAGCCCCATCACCTGGATGATCAGTGCAGAGTTACGTCACAAAGTCCTTTTAGGCAGATCCTAGACAAGGGTTACATCACTTGGATGATCAGTGCAGAGATATGTCACAATGCCACTGTAGGGTGAGCCTAGAAAAGAGTTTCATGACCTAGGTGATCAGTGCAGAGTTACCTCCAAATGTCCCTGTAGTCAGAGCCTTGACAAGTGGTAGATCACCTGGGTAATCATTGCAGGGATATGTCACAAAACACCCTGTAGGGAGATCTTAAGAAAGAGTTACATCACCTGGGTGATCAGTGCAGAGATTTGTCAAAATTCCCTGTAGGCAGTGCTTATAAAAGTGTTACATCACCCAAGTGATCAATGCAGAGATATGTCACAAAGCTCCTGTAGGCAGAACTTAGAAGAGTTACATCACCTGGGTGATCAGTGCAAAGGTATGTCACAAAGCCCCATGTTGGCAAAGCCTAGACAATAGTTACATCACTTGGGTGACCAGTGGCGAGATCTCTCACAATTCCCCTGTAGGCAGAGCTTATACAACAGTTACATCACCTGGGTGATCATTGCAGAGATATGTCACAATGCCCCCATAGGCAGATCCAAGACAAGAATCCGTCACCTGAGTGATTAGTGCAGGGATATGTGAGAATTCCCATGTAGGCAGAGCCTAGACAAGTGTTACATCACCTAGGTTTTCAGTGCAGGTATAAGTCATAAAGCCTCCTGTGGGCAGAGTATAGACAAGAGTTCCCTCCCCAGGGTGATCAGTGCAGAGATGTGTCACAAAGCCCCTGTAGGCAGAGCCTAGACAAGAGTTTCATCACTTGGTTGATCAGTTCAGAGATGTGTCACAATGTCCATGTAGGCAGATCTAAGACAAGAGTCCATCGCCTGGTTGATCAGTGCAGAGATATGTACCAATGTCTCCTGTAGGCAGTGCCTAGACAAGAGTTGCATCACCTCAGAGATCAGTGCACAGGTATTTCACAAAGTCTTCTGTAGGCAAAGCCCATACAAGGCTTACATCACCTAGGTGATCAGTGCAGTGATATGTCAAAAAAAAGTGACAAAAAATGTGTCACAAAGCCCCTGTAGGCCGAGCCTACACAAGAGTTGTTACATCTCCTGGGTGATCAGTGCAAAGATATGTCTCAAAGCCACCTGTAGATAAATCCCAGAAAATCGTTACATCACCTTGGTGATCAGTGGAGATATCTGTCACAATTCCCGTTGAGGCGCAGCTTAGACAAGCGTTACATCACAGGAGTGATCAGTGAAGAGATATGTCCCTATGCCCCCATAGGCAGATCCAAGGAAGAGTCCATCACCTGGGTGATCAGTGCAGAAATATGCCACAGTGCTGCCAGTAGGCAGATATAGACAAGAGGTATATCACCTGCGTGATCACTGCAGAGATATGTCACAATGCCCCTGTAGGCATAGACTAGACAAGAGTCCCATCACCTGGGTGATCAGTGCAGAGTTATGTCACAATGCCCCCTCTTGACGGAGCCTAGAAAAGGGTTACATCACCTGGGTAATCAGTGCAGAGATGTGTCAAAAGACCCTGGTAGCCAGAGCCTAGAAAATAGTTAATGCAGCTGTGTGATCAGTGCAGTGACATGTCACAATGTCCCTGTAGCCATATCCTTGAGAAAAGTGACATCACCTGGATGATCAGTGCGGAGATATGTCACAATGTCTCCAGTAGGCCGAGCTTAGACAAGAGTTACATCACCTGGGTGATCAGGAGAGAGATATGTCACAATGCCCCCTGTAAGCAGATCCCAGAAAAAAGTTGCATCACCTCGGTGATCAGTGCAGAGATATGTCTCAATGCCCCCTGTCGGCGAAGCCTATACAAGAGTTACATCATCTCGGTGATCAGTGCAGTGATATGTTGAAATGCCCCTGTAGGCAGAGCCTAGACAAGAGTTACATCACCTGGGTGATCAGTGCACAGATATCTCACAATACCCACTGTAAGCAGAGCCTAGACAACAGTTACATCACCTAGGTGATCAGTGCAGAGATATGTCATCAATCTCACTGTAGACAAAGCCTAGACAAGTTTTACATCACCTCAGCGATCAGTGCAGAGATATGTCCCAATGTCCCTCTAGGCAGAGCTTAGAAAAGAGTCACATCTCCTGGGTGATCAGTGCAGAGATAAGTCACAATGCCCCAGTAGGCAGAGCCTAGACGAGAGTTACATAACCCCGGTGATCCGTGCAGAGTGATGTCACAAAGCCCTCTGTAGGCAGAGAGTGGAAAAGAGTTACATCACCTGGGTGAACAGTGCAGAGATATGTCACAATGCCCCCTGTAGGCTGAGCATAGAGAAGAGTTGCATCACCTGGGTGATCAGTGCAGGAATATGTCAAAATGTCCCCTGTAGGCAGAGCATAGAGAACAGTTGCATCACCTGGGCAAGCATTGAAGAGATATGTCACAGGGTCCTCTATAGGCAAAGCCTAGGCAAGAGTTACATCACCTTTGTCATCAGTTCAGGGATATGTGAAAACGCCCCTGTAGGCAGAGCATAGAAAATAGTTACATCACCTAGTTGATCAGTGCAGAGATATTTCACAATACCCCCTGTAGGCAGATCCTAGACAAGAGTTGAATCACCTGGGTGATCAGTGCAGAGATATTTCACAATGCCCCCTTTGGGCAGAGGGTAGACAAGATTTACATCCCCTATGTGATCCGTGCAGAGATTTGTCAAAATTCCCTGTAGGCAGTGCTGATAAAAGTGTTACATCACCTAAGTTATCAGTGCAGAGATATGTCACAAAGCTCCTGTAGGCATAACTTAGATGAGTTACATCACCTGGGAGATCAGTGCAAAAGTATGCCACAAAGCCCCCTGTAGGCAAAGCCTAGAAAATCGTTACATCACTTGGGTGATCAGTTGCGAGGTCTCTCACAAATCCCCTGTAGGCAGAGCTTATACAACAGTTACTTCACCTGGGGGATCAATGCAGAGATATGTCACAATGCCCCCATAGGCAGATCCAAGACAAGATTCCGTCAACTGGGTGATCAGTGCAGAAATATGTGAGAATTCCCATGTAGGCAGAGCCTAGACAAGTGTTACATCACCTAGTTTATCAATGCAGGTATAAGTCATAAAGCCTCCTGTAGGCAGAGCGTAGACAAGAGTTTCATCACTTGGTTGATCAGTTCAGAGATGTGTCACAATGTCCATGTAGGCAGATCTAAGACAAGAGTCCATCACCTGGGTGATCAGTGCAGAGTTATCTACCAAAGTCCCCTGTAGGCAGTGCCTAGACAAGAGTTGCATCACCTCAGAGATCAGTGCAGAGATATTTCACAAAGCCTTCTGTAGGCAAAGCCCATACAAGACTTACATCACCTAGGTGATCAGTGCAATGATATGTCACACAAATCCCTGTAGACAGAGACTAGAAAAGAGGTACATCACCTTGGTGATCAGTGCAGTCATTTGACAAAATGCAGCCATAGACAGAGCCCAGACAAGACTTCAATCACCTTGGTGATCAGTGCAGAGATATGTCACAAATCCCCCTCTAGGCAGAGTATAGAGAAGAGTCGCATCACCTGGGTGATCAGTGCAGAGATATTTCACAATGCCCCCTGTAGACAGAGAGTGGACAAGAGTTACATAGCTGAGGTGATCTGTCCAGAGGTATGTCAAAACGCTCGTGTAGGCAGAGCCTAGATAAATGTTACATCACCTGGGTGATCAGTGCAGAGATACTTCATAATACCCCTGTAGGTGGATCCTGGACAAGAGTTACATCAACTGCGTGATCAGCACAGAGATATGTCACAAAGCCCCTGTAGGCAGAGCCTAAACAAGACTTACATCACCTGGGTAATCTGTGCAGAAATATATCACAAAGCCCCTGTAGGCCGAGCCTACACAAGAGTTGTTACATCTCCTGGGTGATCAGTGCAAAGATATGTCACAAAGCCCCCGGTAGACAAATCTCAGAAAATTGTTACATCACCTGGGTGATCAGTGGAGATATCTGTCACAATTCCCCTTCAGGCGCAGATTAGACAAGCGTTACATCACATGAGTGATCAGTGCAGAGATATGTCACTATGCCCCCATATTCAGATCCAAGACAAGAGTCCATCACCTGGGTGATCATTGCAGATATATGCCACAATGACGCCAGTAGGCAGATATAGAAAAGAGTTACATCACCTGCGTTAACACTGCAGAGAGATGTCACAATGCCCCTGTAGGCAGAGCCTAGACAAGTGTCCCATCACCTGGGTGATCAGTGCAGAGTTATGTCACAATGCCCCCTGAAGGCAGAGCATAGAGAAGAGTTGCATCACCTGGGTGATCAGTGCAGATATATGTCACAATGTCTCCTGTAGGCAAAGCCTAGGCAAGAGTTACACCACCTTTGTCATCAGTTCAGGGATATGTGAAAGCGCCCCTTTAGGCAGAGCCTAGACAAGAGTTACATCTCCTAGTCGATCAGTGCAGAGACGTTTCACAATATCCCCTGTAGGCAGATCCTACAGAAGAGTTGAATCACCTGGGTGATCAGTGCAGAGATATTTCACAATGCCCTCTTTGGGCAGAGGGTAGACAAGATTTACATCACCTAGGTGATCCGTGCAGAGATTTGTCAAAATTCCCTGTAGGCAGTGCTTATAAAAGTGTTACATCACCTAAGTTATCAGTGCAGAGATATGTCACAAAGCTCCTGTAGGCATAAATTAGATGAGTTATATCACCTGGGAGATCAGTGCAAAGGTATGTCACAAGGCCCTATGTAGGCAAAGCCTAGACAATAGTTACATCAGTTGGGTGATCAGTGGCGAGATCTCTCACAATTCCCCTGTAGGCAGAGCTTATACAACAGTTACATCACCTGGGTGATCAGTGCAGAGATATGTCACAATGCCCCCTTAGGCCGATCCAAGACAAGAGTCCGTCACCTGGGTGATCAGTGCAGAGATATGTGAAAATTCCCGTGTAGGCAGAGCCTAGACAAGTGTTACATCACCTACGTTATCAGTGCAGGTATAAGTCATAAAACCTTCTGTAGTCAGAGCGTAGACAACAGTTCCCTCCCCAGGGTGATCAGTGCAGAGATGTGTCACAAATCCCCTGTAGGCAGAGCCTAGACAAGAGTTTCATCACTTGGTTGATCAGTTCATAGGTGTGTCACAATGTCCATGTAGGCAGATCTAAGACAAAAGTCCATCACCTGGGTGATCAGTGCAGAGATATGTACCAATGTCTCCTGTAGGCAGTGCCTAGACAAGAGTTGCATCACCTCAGAGATCAGTGCAGATATTTCACAAAGCCTTCTGTAGGCAAAGCCCATACAAGGCTTACATCACCTAGGTGATCAATGCAGTGATATGTCAGAAAAAAATCCCTGTAGACAGAGCCTAGAAAAGAGATACATCACGTGGGTGATCAGTGCAGATATTTGACACAATGCCCCCATAGACTGAGCCTAGACAAGACTTCCATCACCTTGGTGATCAGGGCAGAGATATGTCACAAATCCCCCTCTAGGCAGAGTATAGAGAAGAGTCGCATCACCTGGGTGATCAGTGCAGAGATATTTCACAATGTCCCCTGTAGGCAGAGAGTGGACAAGAGTTACATAACCTAGGTGATCTCTGCTGAGCTATGTCAAAACGCCCGTGTAGGCAGAGCCTAGATAAATGTTACGTCACCTGGGTGATCAGTACAGAGATATGTAACAATACCCCCTGTAGATGGAGCCTAGACAATAGTTACATCAACTGGGTGATCAGTGCAGAGATATGTCACAAAGCCCCTGTAGGCAGAGTCTAAACAAGAGTTACATCACCTGGGTGATCAGTGCAGAAATATGTCACAAAACCCCTGTACGCCGAGCCTAGATAAGAGTTGTTACATCTCCTGCGTGATCAGTGCAAAGATATGTCACAAAGCCCCCTGTAGACAAATCCCAGAAAATTGTTACATCCCCTGGGTGATCAGTGGAGATATCTGTCACAATTCCCCTTCATGTGCAGCTTAGACAAGCGTTACGTCACATAAGTGATCAGTGCAGAGATATGTCACTTTGCCCCCATAGGCAGATCCAAGACAAGAGTCCATCACATGGGTGATCAGTGCAGAAATATGCCACAATGCCGCCAGGAGGCAGACATAGACAAGAGTTACATCACCTGCGTGATCACTGCAGAGATATGTCACAATGCCCCTGTAGGCAGAGCCTAGACAAGAGTCCCATCACCTGGGTGATCAGTGCAGAGATGTGTCACACGACCCCTGTAGCCAGAGCCTAGACAAGAGTTACATCATCTGTGTGATCAGTGCAGTGACATGTCACAATGTCCCTGTAGCCATATCCTTGAGAAAAGTGACATCACCTGAGTGATCAATGCGGAGATATGTCACAATGTCTCCAGTAGGCATAGCCTAGACAAGAGTTACATCACCTGGGTGATCAGGGCAGAGATATGTCACAATGCCCCCTGTAAGCACATCCCAGACAAGAGTTGCTTCACCTCGGTGATGAGTGCAGAGATATGTCTCAATGCCCCCTGTCGGCAATGCCTATACAAGAGTTACATCATCTCGGTGATCAGTGCAGTGATGTGTTAAAATGCCCCTGTAGGCAGAGCCTAGACAAGAGTTACATCACCTGGGTGATCAGTGAAGAGATATCTCACAATACCCACTGTAAGCAGTGCCTAGACCACAGTTACATCACCTGTGTGATCAGTGCTGAGATATGTCATAAATCCCACTGTAGGCATAGCCTAGAGAAGTTTTACATCACCTCAGCGATCAGTGCAGAGATATGTCTGAATGTCCCTCTAGGCAGAGCTTAGACAAGTGTCACATCTCCTGGGTGATCAGTACAGAGATAAGTCACAATGCCCCCGTAGGCAGAGCCTACACGAGAGTTACATAACCCAGGTGACACGTGCAGAGTGATGTCACAACGCCCTCTGTAGGCAGAGACTAGAAAAAAGTTACATCACGTGGGTGATCAGTGCAGAGATATGTCACAATGCACCCTGTAGGCAGAGCATAGAGAAGAGTTGCATCACCTGGGTGATCAGTGCAGAGATATGTCACAATGTCCCCTGTAGGCAGAGCATAGAGAAGAGTTGCATCACCTGGGTGATCATTGCAGAGATATGTCACAATGTCCCCTGTAGGCAAAGCCTAGGCAAGAGTTACATCACCTTTGTCATCAGTTCAGGGATATGTGAACACACCTGTAGGCAGAGCCTGGACAAGGGTTACATCACCTAGTTGATCAGTGCAGAGATATTTCACAATACTCCCTGTAGGCAGATCCTAGACAACAGTTGAATCACCTGCGTGATCAGTGCAGAGATATTCAACAATGCCTCCTTTGGGCAGAGGGTAGACAAGAGTTACATCACCTAGGTGATCCGTGGAGAGATTTGTCAAAATTCACTGTAGGAGGTGCTTATAAAATTTTTACATCACCTAAGTGATCAGTGCAGAGATATGTCACAAAGCTCTTGTAGGCAGAACTTAGATGAGTTACATCACCTGGGAGATCAGTGCAAAGTTATGTCACAAAGCCCCATGTAGGCAAAGCCTAGACAATAGTTACATCAGTTGGGTGATCAGTGGTGAGATCTCTCACAATTCCCATGTAGGCAGAGCTTATACAACAGTTACATCACCTGGGTGATCAGTGCAGAGATATGTCACAATGCCCCCATAGGCAGTTCCAACTCAAGAGTCCGTCACCTGGGTGATAAGTGCAGAGATATGTGAGAATTCCCGGGTAGACAGAGCCTAGACAACTGTTACATCACCTAGGTTATCAGTGCAGCTATAAGTCATAAAGCCTCCTGTAGGCAGAGCGTAGAAAAGAGTTCCCTCCCCAGGATGATCAGTGCAAAAATGTGTCACAAATCCCCTGTAGGCAGAGCCTAGACAAGAGTTTCATCACTTGGTTGATCAGTTCAGAGATTTGTCACAACGTACATGTAGGCAGATCTAAGACAAGAGTCCATCACCTGGTTGATCAGTGCAGAGATATGTACCAATGTCCCCTGTAGGCAGTGGCTAGACAAGAGTTGTATCACCTCAGAGATCAGTGCACAGATATTTCACAAAGCCTTCTGTAGGCAAAGGCCATACAAGGCTTACATCACCTAGGTGATCAATGCAGTGATATGTCAAAAAAATCCCTGTAGACAGAGCCTGGAAAAGAAGTACATCACCTGGGTGATCAGTGCAGACATTTGACACAATGCGTCCATAGACAGAGCCTAGACAAGACTTCCATCACCTTGGTGATCAGTGCAGAGATATGTCACAAATCCCCCTCTAGGCAGAGTATAGAGAAGAGTCCCATCACCTGGGTGATCAGTGCAGAGATATTCCACAATGCCCCCTGTAGGCAGAGAGTGGACAAGAGTTACATAACATAGGTGATCTGTGCAGAGCTATGTCAAAACGCACCTGTAGGCAGAGCCTAGATAAATTTTACATCACCTAGGTGATCAGTGCAGAGATACGTTACAATACCCCCTGTAGGTGGAGCCTAGACAAGAGTTACATCACCTGGGTGATCAGTGCAGAAATATGTCACAAAGCCCCTGTAGGCCGAGCCTAGACAAGGGTTGTTATATCTCCTGGGTGATCAGTGCAAAGATATGTCACAAAGCCCCCTGTAGACAAATCCCAGGAAATTGTTACATCACCTGGGTGATCAGTGGAGATATCTGTCACAATTCCCCTTCAGGCGCAGCTTAGACAAGCGTTACATCACATGAGTGATCAGTGCAGAGACATGTCACTGTGCCCCCGTATGCAGATCCAAGACAAAAGTCCATCACCTGGGTGATCAGTGCAGAAATATGTCTCAATGCCGCCAGTAGGCAGATATAGCCAAGAGTTACATCACCTGCGTGATCACTGCAGAGATATGTCACAATGCCCCTGTAGGCAGAGCCTAGAGAAGAGTCCCATCACCTGGGTGATCAGTGCAGAGTTATGTCACAATAACCCGTTTTGGCAGAGCCTAGACAAGGGTTACATCACCTGGGTGATCAGTGCAGAGATGTGTCACAAGACCCCTGTATCCAGAACCTAGACAAGTGTTACATCAGCTGTGTGATCAGTGCAGTGACATATCACAATGTCCCTGTAGCCATATCCTTGAGAAAACTAACATCACCTCGGTGATCAGTGCGGAAATATGTCACAATATCTCCAGTAGGCAGAGCCTAGACAAGAGTTACATCACCTGGGTGATCAGGGCAGAGATATGTCACAATGCCCCCTGTAAGCAGATCCCAGACAAGAGTTGCATCACCTCGGTGATCAGTGCAGAGGTATATCTCAATAGCCCCTGTCGGCGAAGCCTATACAAGAGTTACATCATCTCGGTAGTCAGTGAAGTGATATGTTAAAATGCCCCTGTAAGCAGAGCCTAGACAAGAGTTACATCACCTGGGTGATCAGTGCAGAGATATCTCACAATACCCCCTGAAAGCAGAGCCTAGGAAAGACTTACATCACCTGGGTGATCAGTGCAGAGATATGTAATAAATTCCACTGTAGGCAAAGCCTAGACAAGTTTTACATCACCTCAGCGATCAGTGCAGAGATATGTCCCAATGTCCCTCTAGGCATATCTTAGACAAGACTCATATCTCCTGGGTGATCAGTGCAGAAATAAGTCACAATTTCCCCCTAGGCAGAGCCTAGACGAGAGTTACATAACCCGGGTTATCTGTGCGGAGTGATGTCAGAACGCCCTCTGTAGGCAGAGACTAGAAAAGAGTTACATCACCTTGGTGATTAGTGCAGAGATATGTCACAATGCCCCCTGTAGGCAGAGCATAGAGAAGAGTTGCATCACCTGGGTGATCAGTGCAGAGATATGTCACAATGACCCCTGTAGGCAGACCATAGAGAAGAGTTCCATCACCTGGGTGATCAGTGCAGAGATATGTCACAATGTCCCATGTAGGCAAAGCCTAGGCAAGAGTTGCATCACCTGGGTGATCAGTGCAGATATATGTCACAATGTCCCCTGTAGGCAAAGCCTAGGCAAATGTTACATCACTTTTGTCATCAGTGAAGAGATATGTGAAAACGCCTCTGTAGGCAGAGCCTTGACAAGAGGTACACCACCTAGTTGATCAGTGCAGAGATATTTCAAAATTCCCCCTGTAGGCAGATCCTAGACCAGAGTTACATCACCTAGGAGATCAGTGCAGAGATTTGTCAAAATTCCCTGTAGACAGTGCTTATAAAAGTGTTACATCACCTAAGTGATCAGTGCAGAGATATGTCATAAAGCTCCTGTAGGCAGAACTTAGATGAGTTACATCACCTGGGTGATCAGTGCAAATGTATGTCACAAAGCCCCCTGTGGGCAAAGCCTAGACAATAGTTACATCACTTGGGTGATCAGGGGTGAGATCTCTCACATTTCCCCTGTAGGCAGAGCTTATACAACAGTTACATCACCCGGGTGATCATTGCAGAGATATGTCCCAATGCCCCCATAGGCAGATCCAAGACAAGAGTCCGTCATCTAAGTGATCAGTGCAGAAAAATGTCACAATGCCCCCTTAGGCAGAGCCTAGACAAAAGCCCCATCACCTGGATGATCAGTGCAGACTTATGTCACATAATTCCTTTAGGCAGATCCTAGACAAGGGTTACATCACTTGGATGATCAGGGCAGAGATATGTCACAATGCCACTGTAGGCAGAGCCTAGACAAGAATTACATGACCTAGGTGATCAGTGCAGAGATACATCACAATGTCCCTGTAGGCAGAGCCTCGAGAAGTGGTACATCACCTGGGTGATCATTGCAGGGATATGTCACAAAGCACCCTGTAGGAAGATCCTAGAGAAGAGTTATATCACCTGGGTGATCAGTGCAGAGATATGTCACAATGCCACTGTAGGCAGAGCCTAGACAAGGGTTACATCACATAGGTGATCAGTGCCATGATACAATGCAATGCCCCTGTAGGCAGAGCCTTGACAAGTGGTATATCACCTGGGTGATCATTGCAGGGATATGTCACAAAGAACCCTGTAGGCAGATCCTAGAGAAGAGTTATATCACCTGGGTGATCACTGCAGAGATATGTCACAAGCCCCCTGTAGGCAGAGCCTAGACAAGAGTTATATCACCGGGTGATCAGTGCGGTGATATGTCACAATGCCGTGTAGCCAGAGCCTATATTAAAGTTACAGCACCTGGGAGATCAGTGCAGAGATATGTCACAATGTCCCCTGTAGGCAAAGCCTAGGCAAGAGTTACACCACCTTTGTCATCAGTTCAGGGATATGTGAAAACGTCCCTGTTGGCAGAGCCTAGAGTAGGGCTACATCACCTTTGTCATCAGTTTAGGGACATGTGAAAACGACCCTGTAGGCAGAGACTAGACAAGACTTACATCACCTAGTTGATCAGTGCGGAGATATTTCACAATAACCCCTGTAGGCAGATCCAAGACAAGAGTTGAAACACCTGGGTGATCAATGCAGAGATATATCGCAATGCCCCCTTTGGGCTGAGGGTAGACAAGAGTTACATCACCTAGGTGATCAGTGCAGAGATTTGTCAAAATTCCCTATAGGCAGTGCTTATAAAAGTGTTACATCACCTAAGTCATCAGTGCAGAGATATCTCACAAAGCTCCTGTAGGCAGAGCTTAGATGAGTTACATCACCTGGTTGATCAGTGCAAATGTATGTCAAAAAGCCCCCTTTAGGCAAAGCCTAGACTATAGTTACATGACTTGGGTGATCAGTGGCGAGATCTCTCACAATTCCCCTGTAGGCAGAACTTATACAACAGTTACGTCACCTGGGTGTTCAGTGCAGAGATATGTCACAATGCCCCCATAGGCAGATCCAAGACAAGGGTCCGTCATCTGGGTGTTCAGTGCAGAGATATCTGAGAATTCCCGTGTAGGAAGAGCCTTGACAAGAGTTACATCACTTTGTTGATCAATTCAGAGATGTGTCATGCTGACTGTTTGCTCCTGGAGGTCTGCGGGCACCCAGAAACATGCAGGGAAGGGTAGAAGGCCGCCATGGTGCCTTTGCACTCCTTGCCAGTTTCCAAACCGGCCAACCTGCAGACTCCCCATGTTGCCGCACACGGGAATCCATCGTCAAGCCTTCACGCTGCGGAGGCATCTTCTCTCGCTCTTGTCTCCTACGTGGAAATGAACGAGAGCCACACGCCTGCGTGTGTGAGACTGTCCCGGCAATGGCGACACCCACAGGCACTGGCTCCTTCACGGAGAGAGGGCCTGGAACACTCAAGACTACCACGGAAGTTCAGTTCCACACTCCCCTCCACCCTCCCAGGCCGGTTTCTCCCTGCTGAAGATTCGTGGGAGCCCAGAGAGAGGCTTCCAGTTCCCGCGGGATTCCTGGAGAGGCCCGGAGAGCCAATCCCTGAAACGCGCCCCCCTCACGCCTTCCCCCTCGCCCCCTTCCTCTTCGTCTCTCTGGCCCCACCATCAACATCACCACGCCCTCCCCCCCACACCACCAGCCCCCGGCCGCAGGCCTCGACGCCCTCGGACCCTTCCGGGGTGGGGCGGGCTGTCCCAGGGCTCACCGCCATTCATGACGGGGTGGAGCCTGCCTGCCTGCGGGCCTTTATAAGAACCGCTGGCTGGCTGTCTGGGCAGGCCTCCTGGCTGCACTTGCCACAGTGCACAGGCTGGCTGAGGGGCACGGGAGCCCGCCGGCCTCTCTCTGCCCGTGTCTGTCCGTGAAATTCTGGCCAGGGCTCCCCGCGATGGCCCTCCCAACACCTTCGGACGGCACCCTCCCCGTGGAAGCCTGGGGCAGGGGACGACAAAAGAGACTTGTTTGGACCCCGAGCCAAAGCGAGGCCCTGCAAGCCTGCTTTGAGCGGAACCCGTACCCGGGCATCGCCACCAGAGAACAGCTGGCCCAGGCCATCGGCATTCCATGGCCCAGGGTCCAGATTTGGTTTCAGAATGAGAGGTCACGCTAGCTGAGGCAGCATCAGTGGGAATCTTGGCCCTGGCCCGGAGACGCAGCCCACAAGAAGGCAGGCGAAAGCGGACCGCCGTCACCGGATCTCTGCACTGATCGCTGAGGTGATGTAAAATTCTCTAGGCTTTGCCTACACAGGGATTTATGACATATCTCTGCACTGACCACCCAGGAGATGTAACTCTTATTTAGGCTCTGCCTACAGGGGCTTTGTGACATATTTCTGTACTGAGCACGGATGCACAAGGGCACAGAGAGGCCAGGGGGCTCCCTTGCACGTCAGCCGGTGTGTGCAATGACTGCAGGTCTAGCCACTCAGCCCAGGGGAGGACACATTTTCCGGGGTTGGGGGATGGGGCTGGGGAGGGTGCCCTCCGAAGGTTTCGAGAGTGCCATCGCGGGGACATTGGGACATGTCACAAAGCCCCCATACACAGAGCCTAGACAAGAGTCCCATCACCTGGGTGTCCCTCTAGGCAGAGCTTAGACAAGAGTCACATCTTCTGGGTGATCAGTGCAGAGATAAGTCACAATGCCCCCGTAGGCAGAGCCTAGACAAGAGTTACATAACCCGGGTGATCCGTGCAGAGTGATGTCACAACGCCCTCTGTAGGCCCACAGGCACTGCCTCCTACACGGAGAGAGGGCCTGGAACACTCAAGACTCCCACGGAGGTTCAGTTCCACTCTCCACTCCACCCTCCCAGGCGGGTTTCTCCCTGCTGAAGGTGCATGGGAGCCCAGAGAGCGGCTTCCAGTTCCCGTGGGATTCCTGGAGAGGTCCGGAGAGCCAGCCCCTCAAATGCACACCCCTCACCCCTTCCCCCTCGCCCCCTTCCTCTTCGTCTCTCCGGCCCCACCACCACCATCACCACACCCTCCACCCCCACCCCAACAACCCCCGGCCGCAGGCACCATGTCTGTCTTCCACCCTTCCCTGCATGTTTCCGGGTGCCCGCAGAGCTCCGCCAGCCCGCGGGCTCCCGTGCACCTCAGCCGGCCTGTGCACTGCAGCAGGTGCAGCCAGGAGGTCTGCCCGGAAAACCATATCTCTGCACTGATCACCAGGTGATGGGACTTTTGTCTAGGCTCTGCCTATGGGGGCATTGTGACATAACTCTACACTGATCACCCAGGTGATGTAACTCTTGTGTTGGATCTTCCTATGGGGGCATTGTGACCTATTTCTGCACTGATCACCCAGGTGATGGGACTCTTGTCTAGGCTCTGTGTATGGGGGCTTTGTGAACATATCTCTGCACTGATCACCCAGGTGATGCAACGCTTGACTAGGCTCTGCCTACAGGACATAGTGACATATCACTGCATTGATAACCGAGGTGATGTAACTCTTGTCCAGGCTCTGCCTACAGGGGGCCTTGTGACATATCTCTGCATTGATTATCTAGGTGATGTAACACTTTTATAAGCACTTCCTATAGGGAATTTTGAAAAATCTCTGCAGTGGTCACCTAGGTGATGTAACTCTTGTCTACCCTCTGCCCAAAGGGGGCATTGTGAAATATCTCTGCACTGTTAACCCAGGTGATCCAACTCTTGTCTAGGATCTGCCTTCAGGGGGTATTGTGAAATATCTCTGCATTGATCAACTAGGTGATGTAACTCTTGTCTAGGCTCTGCCTACAGGGGCGTTTTCACATATCCCTGAACTGATGACAAAGGTGATGTAACTCTTGCCTAGGCTTTGCCTTCAGGGGACATTGTGACATATCTCTGCACTGATCCCCAGGTGATGCAACTCTTCTCTATGCTCTGCCTACAGGGGCCATTGTGACATATCACTGCACTGATCACCCAGGTGATGCAACTCTTCTCTATGCTCTGCCTACAGGGGCCATTGTGACATATCTCTGCACTGATCACCCAGGTGATGCAACTCTTCTCTATGCTCTGCCTACAGGGGGCATTGTGACATATCTCTGCACTGATCACCCAGGTGATGTAACTCGTTTCTAGTCTCTGCCTACAGAGGGCGTTGTGACATCACTCTTCACGGATCACCCTGGTTATGTAACTCTTGTCTAGGCTCTGCCTATTGGGGCATTGTGACTTAGCACTGCAGTGATCACCCAGGAGATGTGTCTCTTGTCTAACCTCTGCCTAGAGGGACATTGGGACATATCTCTGCACTGATCGCTGAGGTGATGTAAAACTTGTCTAGGCTTTGCCTACAGTGCGATTTATGACATATGTCTGCACTGATCACCCAGGTGATGTAACTCTTGTCTAGGCTCTGCTTATAGGGGGTATTGTGAGATATCTCTGCACTGATCAACCAGGTGATGTAACTCTTGTCTAGGCTCGGCCTACAGGGGCATTTTAACATATCACTGCACTGATCACCGAGATGATGTAACTCTTGTATAGGCTTCGCAGACAGGGGGCATTGAGACATATCTCTGCACTGATCACCGAGGTGATGCAACTCTTGTCTGGGATCTGCTAACAGGGTGCATTGTGACATATCTCTGCCCTGATCACTCAGGTGATATAACTCTTGTCTAGTCTCTGCCTACTGGAGACATTTTGACATATCTCCGCACTGATCACTGAGGTGATGCAACTATTTTCTAGTCTGTGCCTACAGAGGGCGCTGTGACATCACTCTGCACGGATCACCCAAGTGATGGGACTTTTGTCTAGGCTCTGCCTATGCAGGCATTGTGACATATCTCTACACTGATCACCCAGGTGATGTAACTCTTGTGTTGGATCTGCCTATGGGGGCATTGTGACATATTTCTTCACAGATCTCCCAGGTGATGGGACTCTTGTCTAGGCTTTGGGTTTGGGGGCTTTGTGACATATCTCTGCACTGATCACCCAGGTGATGTAATGCTTGACTAGGCTCTGCCTACGGGGCATAGTGATATATCACTGCATTGATCACCGAGGTGATATAACTCTTGTCCAGGCTCTGCCTATTGGGGGGCTTGTGACATATCTCTGCACTGATCATCTAGGTGATGTAAAGCTTGCTTGCGCTCTGCCTGCAGGGGCATTGTGAAATATCTCTGCACTGATCACCCAGGTGATGGGACTCTTCTCTAGGCTCTGCCTACTGGGAGCATTGTCACATATTTCTGCACTGATCACCCAGGTGACAGACTCTTGTCTTGGATTTGCCTATGGGAGCATTGTGACATATCCCTGCACTGATCACCCAGGTGATGTAACTCTGGTCTAAGCTCTGCCTAAAGGGGCATTGTGACAGATCTCTGCACTGATCACTCAGGTGATGTAACTATTGTCTAGGCTCTGCTTAAAGGGGCCTTGTCACATATCTCTGCACTGATCACCCAGGTGATGTAACCCTTTTCTAGGCTTTGCTTACAGGGGTATTGGGACATATCTCTACACTGATCACCTAAGTGATGTAACACTTGTGTAGGCTATGCCTACAGGTGCATTTTGACATATCTCTGCACTGTTAACCGAGGTGATGTAACCCTTGTCTAGGCTGTGCCCACATGGGGATTGAGCCATTACTCTGCACTGATCCTGAGGTGATCCAACTCTTGCCTGGTCTCTGCCTACTGGGGACATTGTGACATATCTCTGCACTGATCTTCCAGGTGCTGTAACTTTAGTCTAGGCTCTGGCTACACGGCATTGTGACATATCACTGCACTGATCACCCAAGTGATATAACTCTTGTCTAGGCTCTGCCTACAGGGGCTTGTGACATAACTCTGCACTGATCACCCAGGTGATATAACTTTTCTCTAGGATCTGCCTACAGGATGCTTTGTGACATATCCATGCAATAATCATCCAGGTGATGTACCACTTGTCAAGGCCCTGCCTACAGGGACATTACGCTGTATCTCTGCACTAATCACCTAGGTCATGTAACTCTTGTCTAGACTCTGCCTACAGTGGAATTGTGACATATCTCTGCACTGATCATCCAAGTGATGCAACTCTTGTCTAGGATCTGCCTAAAGGAACTTTGTGACATAACTCTGCACTGATCATCCAGGTGATGCGGCTATTGTCTAGGTTCTGCCTAAGTGGGCATTGTGACATATTTCTGCACTGATCACCCAGGTGACGGACTCTTGTCTTGGATCTGCCTATGGGGGCATTGTGACATATCTCTGCAATAATCACCCAGCTGATGTAACTGTTGTATAAGCTCTGCCTACCGGGGAATTGTGAGAGATATCGCCACTGATCACCCCACTGATGTAACTATTGTCTAGGCTTTGCCTACAGGGGGCTTTGTGACATACCTTTGCACTGATCATCCAGGTGATGTAACTCATCTAAGTTCTGCCTACAGGAGCTTTGTGACATATCTCTGCACTGATCACTTATGTGATATAACAATTTTATAAGCACTGCCTACAGGGAATTTTGACAAATCTCTGCACTGATCACCTAGGTGATGTAACTCTTGTCTACACTCTGCTCAAAGGGGGCATTGTGAAATATCTCTGCACTGATCACCCAGGTGATTCAACTCTTGTCTAGGATCTGCTTACAGGGGATATTGTGAAATATCTCTGCACTGATCACCTAGGTGATGTAACTTTTGTCTAGGCTCTCCCCACAGGGGCGTTTTCACATATCCGTGAACTGATTACAAAGGTGATGTAACTCACGTCTAGGCTTTGCCTATAGGGGACATTGTGAAATATCTCTGCACTGATCAACTAGGTGATGTAACTCTTTTCTAGGCTCTGCCTACAGGGGCTTTGTGACATATTTCTGTACTGATCACCCAGGTGATGTAACTCTTGTCTCTGCTCCAACTACAGGGTGTATTGTGAAGTATCTCTTCATTGATCACCCGGGTGATGTAACTCTTGTCTAGGCTCCAACTACAGGGGGTATTGCGACGTATCTTTGCACTGATCCCCCAGGTGATGTAACATTTATCTAGGCTCTGCTTACAGGGGCGTTTTGAAATAGCTCTGCACAGATCACCTAGGTTATGTAACTCTTGTCCACTCTCAGCCTACAGGGGCATTGTGAAATATCTCTGCACTGATCACTCAGGTGATGGGACACTTCTCTTTACTCTGCCTAGAGGGGGTTTGTGACATATCTCTGCACTGATCACCCAGGTGATGGAAGTCTTGTCAAAGCTCTGTCCATGGGGGCATTGTGTCAAATATCTGCACTGATCACCCAGGTGATGTAACTCTTTTCTAGGCTCTGTCTACAGGAATTTTTGTGACATATCACTGCACTGATCACCTAGGTGATGTTAGCCTTGTATGGGCTTTGCCTACAGAAGGCTTTGTGACATATCTATGCACTCATCGCTGAGGTGAGGCAACTCTTGTCTCGGCACTGCCTCCAGGGGACATTGGTACATATCTCTGCACTGATCACCCAGGAGATGGACTCTTGTCTTAGATCTGCCTACATGGACATTGTGACACATCTCTGAACTGATCAACCAAGTGATGAAACTCTTGTCTAGGCTCTGCCTAAATGGGCTTGGTGACACATCTCTGCACTGATGACCCTGGGGAGGAAAGTCTTGTCTATGCTCTGCCTACAGGAGGCTTTATGACTTATACCTGCACTGATAACCTAGGTGATGTAACACTTGTCTAGACTCTGCCTACACGGGAATTCTCACATATCTCTGCACTGATCACTCAGTTGATGTAACTCATTTCTAGGTTCAGCCTAGAGGAGCATTCTGACATATCTCTGCACTGATCAGCCAGGTGATGTAACTCTTGTGTTGGATCTGCCTCTGGGGTCATTTTGACATATGTCTTCACTGATCACCCAGGTGATGGGATTCTTGTCTATGCTCTGTGTATGGGGGCTTTGTGACATATCTCTGCACTGATCACCCAGGTGATTGGACTTTTCTCTAGGCTCTGCCTCCTGGGGCTATTGTCACATATTTCTACACTGATCACCCATGTGGCGGACTCTTTTCTTGGATTTTCCTATGGGGGCATTGTGACATATCTCTGCACTGATCACCCAGATGATGTAACTGTGGTCTAAGCTCTGCCTAAAAGGGCATTGTGAAAGATCTCTGCACTGATCACTCCGGTGATGTAACTGTTGTCTAGGCTCTGCTTAAAGGGGCCTTGTCACATATCTCTGCACTGATCACCCAGGTGATGTAACTCTTGTCTAGGCTCTGTTTACAGGGGGTATTGTGACATATCTCTGCACTGATCACATAAGTGATGTAATCCTTGCGAAGGCTCTGCCTACAGGGGCATTTTGACATATCTCTGCACTGTTAACCGAGGTGATGTAACAATTGTCTAGGCTGTGCCCACAGGGGGATTGAGACATATGTCTGCACTGATCCCGAGGTGATCCAACTGTTGTCTGGTCTGTGCCTAATGGGGACATTGTAACATATCTCTGCACTGATCTCCCAGGTGCTGTAACTTTAGTCTGGGCTCTGGCTACACGGCATTGTGACATATCACTGCACTGATCACCCAGGTGATATAACCCTTGTCTAGGCTCTGCCTACAGGGGGCTTGTGACATATCTCTGCACTGATCACCTAGGTGATATAACTCTTCTCTAGGATCTGCCTACAGGGTGCCTTGTGACATATCCCTGCAATGATCACGCAGGTGATATACCACTTGTCAAGGCTCTGGCTACAGGGGCATTGCGAAGTATCTCTGCACTGATCACCTAGGTCATGTAATTCTTGTCTAGGCTCTGCCTACAGTGGCATTGTGACATATCACTGCACTGATCACCCAGGTGATGTAACTATTTTCTGGGATCTGCCTACAGGGTGCTTTGTGACATATCCCTGCAATGTTCATCCAGGTGATGTACCACTTGTCAAGGCTCTGCCTACAGGTTCATTGCGATGCATCTCTGCACTGATCACCTAGGTCATGTAAATCTTGTCTATGCTCTGCCTACATTGGCATTGTGACATATCTCTGCTCTGGTTATCCAAGTGATGTAACATTGTCTAGGAACTGCCTAAAGGGACTTTGCGACATAACTCTGCACTGATCATCCAGGTGATGGGGTTTTGTCTAGGCTCTGCCTAAGGGGGCATTGTGACATATTTCTGCACTGATCACCCAGGTGACGGACTCTTGTCTTGGATTTGCCTATGGGGGCATTGTGACATGTCTCTGCACTGATCACCCAGGTGATGTAACTGTTGTATAAGCTCTGCTGACAGGTGAACTGTGAGAAATCTCACCACTGATCACCCAAGTGATGTAACGATATTCTAGGCTTTGCCTACACGGGGCTTTGTGACATACCTTTGCACTGATCACCCAGGTGACGTAACTCATCTAAGTTCTGCCTACAGGAGCTTTGTGACATATCTCTGCACTGCTCACTTAGGTGATGTAACACTTTTATAAGCACTGCATACAGGGAATTTTGTCAAATCTCTGCACGGATCACCTAGGTGATATAACTCTTGTCTACCCTCTGCCCAAAGGGGGCATTGTGAAATATCTCTGCACTGATCACCCAGGTGATTCAACTCTTGTCTAGGATCTGCCTACAGGGGGTATTGTGAAATATCTCTGCACTAATCAACTAGGTGATGTAACACTCGTCTAGGCTCTGCCTACAGGGGCGTTTTCACATATCCCTGAACTGATGACAAAGGTGATATAACTCTTGCCTAGGCCTTGCCTACGGGGACACTGTGACATATCTCTGCACTGATCACCCAGGTGATGCAACTCTTCTCTGTGCTCTGCCAACAGGGGCCATTGTGACATATCTCTGTACTGATCACCCAGGTGATGCAACTCTTCTCTATGCACAGCTTACAGGGTGCATTGTGACTTATCTCTGCACTGATCACCCAGGTGATGTAACTCATTTCTAGGCTCCACCTACAGGGGCTATTGTGACGTATCTCTGCACTGATCACCCAGGTGATGTAACATTTACATAGGATCTGCCTACAGGGGCGTTTTGATATAGCTCTGCACAGGTCACGTAGGTTATGTAACTCTTGTCAACTCTCTGTCTACAGGGGGCATTGTGAAGTAACTCTGCACTGGTCACCCAGGTGATGGGACTCTTCTCTATACTCTGCCTAGAGGGAGATTTGTGACATATCTCTGCACTGATCACGCAGGAGATGGAAGTCTTGTCTAGACTCTGTCTATGGGGGCATTGTGTCAAATATCTGCACTGATCACCCAGGTGATGTAACTCTTGTCTACGGTCTGTCTACAGGGATTTGTGTGACATATCACTGCACTGATCACCTAGGTGATGTAAGCCTTGTATGGGCTTTGCCTATAGAAGGCTTTGTGACATATCTATGCACTGATCTCTGAGGTGATGCAACTCTTGTCTAGGCAGTGCCTACAGGGGACATCGGGACATATCTCTGCACTGATCACCCAGGTGATGGACGCTTGTCTTAGATCTGTCTACATGGACATTGTGACACATCTCTGAATTGAACAAACAAGTGATGAAACTATTGTCTAGCCTCTGCCTACAGGGGCTTTGTGACACATCTCTGCACTGATCACCCTGGGGATGGAACTCTTGTCTACGCTCTGCCTACAGGAGGCTTTATGACTTATACCTGCACAGATAACCTAGTTGATGAAAAACTGGTCTAGGCTCTCCCTACACAGGAATTCTCACATATCTGTGCACTGATCACCTGGTTGATGTAACTCCTGTCTAGGTTCAGCCTGCAGGAGAGTTTTGACATATCTATTCACTGATCACCCAGGTGATGTAACCCTTGTCTAAGCTCTGCCTACAGGGGCATTGTGACAGATCCCTCCACTGCTCACCCAGGTGATGTAACAATTGTCTGGGTTTTGCCTACAGGGGGCTTTGTGATATACATTTCCGCAGATCAAACAGGTGATGTAACCCTTGTCAAGGTTCTGCTTACAGGGGCTTTGTGACATTTCTCTGCACTGATCACCCCAGGGAGGAAACAATTTTCTACACTCTGCCTAAAGGAGGCTTTACGACTTATCCCTGCACTGATCACTAGGTGATGTAACACTTGTCTTGGCTCTGTCTACACGGGAATTTTCACATATCTCTACACTCATCACCTAAGTGATGTAACCCTTGTCTAGGTTCAGCCTACTGGGGATTTCTGACATACCTATGCACTGATCACCAAGGTGATGTAAATCATTTCCAGGCTTTTTGTACAGGGGACATTGTGTTATATCTCTGCACTGATCACCCAAATGATGCAAATCTTCTCTATGCTCCGCAGGGAGGGGGCATTGTGACACATTTCTGAACTGATCATCCAGGAGATGTACCTATTCTCCAGGCTTTGACTAAAGAGCATCGGAAGGTGTTGGGAGAGCCTTAGCCGGAATTTCACGGATGGACAGGGTCACAGAGAGGCCAGCGGGCTCCCTTGTACGTCAGCTGGGGAGTGCAATGAGCGCATGTGTAGCCAGGAGGCTGGTAAAGAGAGCTAGAAGTCTGGGTTCCTCCGCCAGGAGCTCCATGGTGGCAGCTGGGAGTCTGCATGGTCACGGGCGGGCCAGCGACGGTGGCGCGGAGGCACAGATGAGGCAAGCCGCCAGAGGGGTGTCAGGCCTGGACGCAGGGCGGGCCCGGTGTTTCCTGGGACAGTGGTCTCCACCCAGCCCGGAGACCAGCAGTGATATCTGGTTTCAGAATCGAAGGACCAGGCACCCGGGAGAGGCGGGCAGGGCGCCCGCACAGGCAGGCGGCCTGTGCAATGAGGCCCCCGGTGGGTGTCACCCTGCTCCCTCGTGGGTCCCCTTCACCCACACTGGCGCGTGTGGAACGAGGCTTCCCGCACTCCACATGCCCTGCGCGCCTGGGTCTCTCCCACAGGGGGCTTTTGTGAGACAGGGATCGAGGGCCGTCCCCGTGCTCCAGCCCAGCCAGGCCGCGCCAGCAGAGGGGATCTCCCAACCTGCCCCGGCACGCGTGGATTTTGCCTAGGCCGCCCTGGCTCCTCCGGAAGGGGCGCTCTCCGACGCTCAGGCTCCTTGGTGGCCTCCACACCTGGGTAAAAGCCTGGAGGACCGGGACCCAGAGCGCAACAAATTGCCAGGCCCTTGCACAGTGGGACAGCCTGGGCCCGCTCAGGCGGGGCCACAGGGCTAAGGTGTGCTTGCGCCAACCGCATCCCAGGGGAGTCCTTCGTGGGGCTGTGGCTGGTGTCCGCCGGTCTCCGGGGCGGTGTGGGAATCCCAAGCCGGGGCAGCCCCACCTCGCCAGCCTGTGCCCTAGAGGCCTCGGCCCAGCAGGGGCAGATGCTAGGCATCCCGGCGCCCTCCTGGGCGCTCCAGGAGCCGGGGTGCTCGCCTGCACTCCCCTCTGGCCTGCTGCTGGTTGAGCTCCTGGAGAGCCCGGAGTTTCTGCAGCAGGCAAAATCTTTCCTAGAAACGGAGGCCCCAGGGGAGCTGGAAGCCTTGGAAGGGGCGGCCCGGCTGGAAGCACCCCTCAGTGAGGAAGAATACCGGGCTCTGCGGGAGGAACTTTAGGACACAGGGTTGGGACGGGGTCGGGTCGGGGCAGGGCGGTGGCCTCTCCTTCACGGGGAACACCTGGCTGGCTATGGAGGGGCATGTCTTCCCCCCGCCCCCTCCACCGGGCTGACAGGCCTGGGATTCCTGCCTTCTAGGTCTAGGCCTGGTGAGAGACTCCACACAGCGGAGAACTGCCATTCTTTCCTGGGCATCCCGGGGATCCCAGTGCCAGCCCAGGTACCAGCAGGTGGGCCACCTACTGCGCACGCGCGGGTTTGAGGGCAGCCGCCTGGGCTGTGGGAGCAGCCCGGGCAGAGCTCTCATGCCTCTCCACCACCTCACCACCGCCTGACCACCCCCTCCCCACCGCCACACCCCACCCCCGGAAAATGCTTCCTCCCATGGCCTGGGTGGAGAACCCCGTCCCGCGAAACACCGGGCCCGCGCAGCGTCCTTTCCTGACATCCCTTTAGTGGCTTGCATCCTCTGCGCCTCCATGCCACCGTAGCCCACACGTGCATTCCCCTGCAGCCTCCCACCTGTCACCATGGAGGGCCTGGCGGCGGAACTCAAACCTCTAGCTCTCTTAGCTGGCCTCCTGGCTCGACCTGCACTCATTGCGCACCCTGGCTGATGTGCAAGGGAGCCCGCTGGTCTCTCTGTGACCTTGTCCATCCGAGAAATTCCGGCTGAGGTTCTCCCAACAACATCTGATGCTCTTTAGTCAAAGCCTGGAGAATTGTTACATCTCCTGAATGATCAGTTCAGAAACATGTCACAATGCAGCCTCCCTGCAGAGCATAGAGAAGATTTGTATCATTTGGGTGATCAGTGCAGAGACATATCACAATGTCCCCTGTACAAAAAGCCTGGAAATGATTTACATCACCTCGGTAATCAGTGCATAGGTATGACAGAAATTCCCAATAGGCTAAACCTAGACAAGGGTTTCATCACTTCATCAGTGCAGAGATATGTCACAATGTCCCCTGTAGGCAAAGCCTAGGCAAGAGTTACATCATCTTTGTCATCAGTTCAGGGATATGTGAAAACGCCCATGTAGGCAGAGCCAAGACAAGAGTTACATCACCTTTGTCATCAGTTCAGGGATATGTGAAAACGTCCATGTAGGCAGAGCCAAGACAAGAGTTACATCACCTAGCTGATCAGTGCAGAGATATTTCACAATACCCCCTGTAGGCAGATCCTAGACAAGAGTTGAATCACCTGGGTTATCAATGCAGAGATATTTCACAATGCCCCCTTTGGGCAGAGGGTAGACAAGGGTTACATCACATATGTGATCAGTGCAGAGATTTGTCAAAATTTCCTATAGGCAGTGCTTATAAAAGTGTTACATCAACTAAGTGATCAGTGCAGAGATGTGTCACAAAGCTCCTGTAGGCAGAATTTAGATGAGTTACATCACCTAGGTGATCAGTGCAAAGGTATGTTCCAAAGCCTCCTGTTGGCAAAGCCTAGACAATATTTACATCACTATGGTGATCAGTGGTGAGATCCCTCACAATTCCCCTGTAGGCAGAGCTTGTACAACACTTACATCACCTGGGTGTTCAGTGCAGAGATATGTCACAATGCCCCCATGGGCAGATCCAAGACAAGACTCAGTCACCTGGGTGATCAGTGAAGAAATATGTCACATTGCCCCCTTAGGCAGAGCCTAGACAAAAGCCCAACACCTGGATGATCAGTGCAGAGTTGTGTCCCAAAGTCCCTTTAGGCAGATTCTGGAAAAGAGTTACATCACTTGGATGATCAGTGCAGAGATATGTCACAATGCCACTGTAGGCAGAGCCTAGACAAGAGTTACATGACCTAGGTGATCAGTGCAGAGATACATCGCAATGCCCCTGTAAGCAGAGCCTTGACAAGTGGTATATCACCTGGGTGATCATTGCAGGGCTATGTCACAAAGCACCCTGTAGGCAGATCCTACAAAAGATTTGCATCACCTGGGTGATCAGTGAAGGGATATGTCACAATGCCACTGTTGGGAGAGCCTAGACAAGAGTCCCATCACCTGGGTGATCAGTGCAGAGTTCTGTCACAATGCCCTTGTAGGCAGAGCCTTGACATATGGTATATCACCTGGGTGATCATTGCAGGGATATGTCACAAAGCACTCTGTAGGCAGATCCTAGAGAAGAGTTATATCACCTGGGTGATCAGTGCAGAGATATGTCACAAGCCCCCTGTAGGCAGAGCCTAGACAAGAGTTATATCACCTGGGTGTTCAGTACAGTGATATGTCACAATGCCGTGTAGCCAGAGCCTAGAATATAGTTAGAGCACCTGGGAGATCAGTGCAGAGATATGTCACAATGTCACCAGTAGGCAGAGACCAGGCAAGAGTTGGATCTTCTCGGAATAAGTGCAGAGATATGTCTCAATCCCCCTGTGGGCACAGCCTAGACAAGGGTTACATCACCTCGGTTAACAGTGCAGAGATATGTCAAAATGCCCCTGAATGCAGAGCCTACACAAGTGTTAAATCACTTATGTGATCAGTGCAGAGATACGTCACAATACCAGGTTTAAGCAGAGCCTAGACAAGAGTTACATCACCTGGGTGATCAGTGCAGAGATATGTGACAAGGCCCCTTTAAGCAGAGCCTAGACAATAGTTACATCACCTGAGTGATCAGTGCAGAGATCTGTCACAATGCCCTTTTAGGCAGAGCTTAGACAAGAGTTACATCACCTGGGTGATCAGTGCAGAGATATGTCACAATGCCCCCATAGGCAAATCCAAGACAAGAGTCCATCACATGGGTGATCAGTGCAGAAATATGTGACAATGCCCCCAGTAGGCAGAGCTTAGAGAAGATTCCCATCTCCTTGGTGATCAGTGCAGAGATATTTCATAATGCCTTGCAGGCAGAGCGTAAGCAAGAGTTGCATCACCTAGGTGATCAGTGCAGAGATATGTCACAAGGCCCCCTATAGGCAGAGCCTGGACAAGAGTTACATCACCTCGGTGATCAATGCAGTGATATGTCACTATGCCCCGTAGGCAGAGCCTAGTTAATCGTTACATCACCTGGGTGATCAGTGCAGAGATAAGTCACAAAGCCCCCATCCACAGTGCCTAGACAAGAGTCCCATCACTTGGGCGATCAGTGTAGAAATATGTCACAATGCCCCCATAGGCAGATCCAACACAAGAGTTACATCACCAAGGTGATCAGTGTAGAGATATGTCACAATGTCCCCATAGGCAGAGCCTAGAAAAAACTCCCATCAGCTGGGTGAACAGTGCAGAGATATGTCACAAAGCCCCTGTAGGCAGAGCCTAGACAAGTGTTACATCACTTTGTTGAACAGTTCTGAGATGTGTCATGCTAACTGTTTGCTCCCGGAGCTCTGCGGGCACCCGGAAACATGAGGGAAGTGTGGAAGACCGGCATGGTTCCTTCGCTCTCCTTGCCAGTTTCCAAACCGGCCACACTGCAGTCTCCCCATGTTGCTGCACACGGGAATCCATCGTCAGTCCATCACGCTAGGGAGGCATCTTCTCTCTGGGGTCTCGCTCTGGTCTCCAAAGTAGAAATAAATGACAGCCACATGGCTGCGTGTGTCAGACTGTCCTGGCAATGGCGCCACCCACAGGCACTGCCTCCTTCACGGAGAGAGGGCCTGGAACACTGAAGACTCACGGAAGTTCAGTTCCACACTCCCGGCCACACTCCCAGGCCAGTTTCTCTCTGCTGAAAACGCGTGGGAGCCCAGAGAGCAGCTTCCAGTTCCCGCGGGATTCCTGGTGAGGTCCGGAGATCCAGCTCCCGAAACGCGCCCCCCTCACCCTTTCCCCTTCGCCCCCTTCCTCTTCGTCTATCCAGCCCCACCACCACCATCACCACGCCATCCCCCCACACCCGACCACCCTCCGGCTACAGGCCTCGACGAGCTGGGACCCTTCTGGTGTGGGGCGGGCTGTCCCAGGGCTCACCGCCATTCATGAAGTGGTGGAGCCTGCCTGCCTGCGGGCCTTTAAAAGAGCCCGTGCCCCTGCAGCCTCCCAGCTGCCACCATGGGGCGCCTGGCGGTGGAACGCTGACCTCTAGCTCTCTTTGCTGGCCTCCTGGCTAGACCGGCGCTCATTGCGCACACTGGCTGACGTGTAAGGGAGCCCTCTCGCCTCTCTGTGCCCTTGTCGTGAAATTCCGGCTGAGGCTCTCCCAACACCTTTTGACACTCTTTAGTCAAAGCCTGGAGAATAGTTACAGAACTGAATGATCAGTTCAGAGATATGTCACAATGCACCCTCCCTGCGGAGCCTAGAGAGGATTTCCATCATTTGGGTGATCAGTGCAGAGATATATCACAATGTCCCCTGTACAAAAAGCCTGGAAATGATTTACATCACCTCGGTGATCAGTGCATAGGTACGTCAGAAATCCACAGTAGGCTGAACCTACACAAGCGGTACATCATTTAGGTGAGCAGTGTAGAGATATGTGAAAATTCCCGTGTATACAGAGCTTAGACAAGTGTTACATCACCTAGTGATCAGTGCAGGGATAAGTCGTAAAGCCTCCTGTAGGCAGAGTGTAGTCAAGTGTTTTCTTCCTGGGGTGATCAGTGCAGAGATATGTCATAAAGCCCCTATAAGCAGAACCTTGACAAGGGTTACATCACCTGTTTGATCAGCGGAAATGTATATCACAAAGCCCCTGTAGGCAAATCCCAGACAATTGTTACATCAGCTGGGTGAGCAGTGGAGAGATCTGTCACAATGCCCGTGTAGGCAGAGCTTAGACAAGGGTTACATCACCTGGGTGATCAGTGCAGAGATATGTCAAAACTCTCCTGCAGGCTGAACATAGACAGGAGTTACATCACCTCGGTGATCAGTGCAGAGATATGTGAGAATTCCCGTGTAGGCAGAGCCTAGACAAGTGTTACATCACCTAGGTTATCAGTGCAGGTATAAGTCATAAAGCTTCCTGTAGGCAGAGCGTAGACAAGAGTTCCCTCCCCAGGGTGATCAGTGCAGAGATGTGTCACAAAGCCCCTGTAGGCAGAGCCTAGACAAGAGTTTCATCACTTGGTTGATCAGTTCAGAGATGTGTCACAATGTCCATGTAGGCACATCTAAGACAAAAGTCCATCACCTGGGTGATCAGTGCAGAGGTATGTACCAATGTACCCTGTAGGCAGTGCCTAGACAAGAGTTGCATTACCTCAGAGATCAGTGCACAGATCTGTCACAAAGCCTTCTGTAGGCAACGCCCATACAAGGCTTACATCACCTAGGTGATCAGTGCAGTGATATGTTAGAAAAATCCCTCTAGACAGAGCCTAGACAAGAGTTAAATCAACTGGGTGATCAGTGCAGATATTTGACACAATGACCTCATAGACAGAGCCTAGACAAGACTTCCATCGTCTGGGTGATCAGTCCAGAGATTTGTCACAAATTCCCCCTCTAGGCAGAGTATAGAAAAGAGTCCCATCACCTGGGTAATCAGTGCAGAGATATTTCACAATGCCCCCTGTAGGCAGAGAGTGGACAAGAGTTACATAATCTAGTTGATCTGTGCACAGCTATGTCAAAACATCTCTGTAGGCAGAGCCTAGATAAATGTTACATCAACTGAGTGATCAGTGCAGAGATACGTCACCATACCCCCTGGAGGTGGAGCCTAGACAAGAGTTACATCACCTGGGTAATCAGTGCAGAAATATGTCACAAATCCCATATAGGCCAAGCATAGACAACAGTTACACCTCCTGGGTGATCAGTGCAAAGATATGTCACAAATCCCCCTGTAGACAAATCACAGAAAATCGTTACATCATCTGGGTGATCAGGGGAGATATCTGTCACAATTCCCCTTTAGGCGCAGCTTAGACAAGCGTTACATCACATGAGTGATCAGTGCAGAGATATGTCACTATGCCCCCATAGGCAAATCCAAGACAGGAGTCCATCACCTGGGTGATCAGTGCAGAAATATGCCACAATGCCGCCAGTAGGCAGATATAGACAAAAGTTACATCACTTGCGTTATCACTGCAGAGATATTTCACAATGCCCCTGTAGGCAGAGCCTAGACAAGAGTTACATCAGCTGTGTGATCAGTGCAGTGACATGTCACAATGTCCCTGTAGCGATATCCTTGACAAAAGTAACATCACCTGGGTGATCAGTGCGGAGATATGTCACAATGTCTCCAGTAGGCAGAGCCTAGACAAGAGTTACATCAACTGGGTGATCAGGGTAGAGATATGTCACAATGCACCCTGTAAGCAGATCCCAGACAATAGTTGCATCACCTCGGTGATCAGTGTAGAGATATGTCTCAATGCCCCCTGTCAGTGAAGCCTATACAAGAGTTACAACATCTCGGTGATCAGTGCAGTGATATGTCACAATGTCTCCAGTAGGCACAGCCTAGACAAGAGTTACATCCCCTGGGTGATCAGTGCAGAGATATCTCACAATACCCTCTGTAAGCAGAGCCTAGAAAAGAGTTACATCACCTGGGTGATCAGTGCAGAGATATGTCATAAAACCCACTGTACGCAAAGCCTAGACAAGTTTTGCATCACCTCAGCGATCAGTGCAGAGAAATGTCCCAATGTCCCTCCAGGCAGAGCTTAGAAAAGTGTCACATCTCCTGGGTGATCAGTGCAGAGATAAGCCACAGTGCCCCCATAGGCAGGGCCTAGACAAGAGTTACATAACACGGGTATTCCGTGCAGAGTGTTGTCACAACGCCCTCAGTAGGCAGAGAGTAGAAAAGGGTTACATCACCTGGGTTATCAGTGCAGAGGTATGTCACAATACCCCCTGTAGGCACTGCATAGAGAAGAGTTGCATCACCTGGGTGATCAGTGCAGAGTTATGTCACAATCTGCCCTGTAGACAGAGCATAGAGAAGAGTTACATCACCTGGGTGATCAGTGCAGAGATATGTCACAACGTCCCCTGTGGGTAAAGGCTAGGCAAGAGTTACATCACCTTTGTCATCAGTTCAGGGATATGTGAAAACGCCCATGTAGGCAGAGCCTAGACAAGTGTTACATCACCTAGTTTTGCAGTGCAGAGATATTTCACAATAACCCCTGTAGGCAGATCCTAGAAAAGAGTTGAATCACCTGGGTGATCAGTGGAGAAATATTTCACAATGCCCCCTTTGGGCAGAGGGTAGACAAGAGTTACTTCACCTAGGTGATCAGTGCAGAGATTCGTCAAAATTCCCTGTAGGCAGTGCTTATAAAAGTGTTACATCACCTAAGTGATCAGTGCAGAGATATGTCACAAAGCTCCTGAAGGCAGAACTTAGTTGAGTTACACTATCTGGGTTAACAGTGCAAAGGTATGTCACAAAGACTTCTGTAGGCAAAGCCTAGACAATAGTTACATCACTTGCGTGAACAGTGGCGAGATCTCTCACAATTCCCCTGTAGGCGAAGCATATACAACAGTTACATCACATGGGTGATCAGTGCAGAGATACGTCATGATGCCTCCATAGGCAGATTCAAGACAATAGTCCGTCACCTGGGTGATCAGTGCAGTAATATGTCACAATGCCCCCTTAGGCAGAGCTTAGACAAGAGCCCCATCACCTGGATGATTAGTGCAGAGTTATGTCACAAAGTCCCTTTAGGCAGATCCTAGACAAGAGTTATATCACTTGGATGATCAGTGCAGAGATATGCCACAATACCACTGTAGGCAGAGCCTAGACAAGTTTCACATGACCTAGGTGATCCGTGCAGAGATACATCGCAATGTCCCTGTAGGCTGAGCCTTGACAAGTGGTACATCACCTGGGTGATCATTGCAGTGAGATGTCACAAAGCACCATTTAGGCAGATCCTAGTAAAGAGTTACATCACCTGAGTGATCAGTGAAGAGATATGTCACAATGCCACTGTAGGCAGAGCCTAGACAAGAGTTACATGACCTAGGTGATCAGTGCAGAGATACATGGCAATGCCCCTGTAGGCAGAGCCTTGATAAGTGGTATATCACCTGGGAGATCATTGCAGGGATATGTCAAACAGCACCCTGTAGGCAAATCCTGGAGAATTGTTATATCACTTGGGTGATCAGTGCAGAGATATGTCACAAGCCCCCTGTAGGCAGAGCCTAGACAAGAGTTATATAATCTGGGTGATCAGTGCAGTGATATGTCACAATGCCGTGTAGCCAGAGCCGAGATTAAAGTTACAGCACCTGGGAGATCAGTGCAGAGATATGTCACAATGTCCCCAGTAGGCAGAGACCAGGCAAGAGTTGGATCACCTCGTGATCAGTACAGAGTTATGTCTCAATTCCCCTGTGGGCACAGCCTATACAAGAGTTACATCACCTCGGTTAACAGTGCAGGGATATTTCAAAATACCCTTGTAGTCAGAGCCTACACAATTGTTACAACACTTAGGTGATCAGTGCAGAGATATGTCACAATACCTTCTGTAAGCAGAGCCTAAACAAGTGTTACATCACCTGGGTGATAAGTGCAGAGATATGCGACAAGGTCCCTTTAAGCAGAGCCTAAACAATAGTTACTTCACATGGGTGATCAGTGCAAAGATGTGTCACAAGCCACCTCTAGCCAGAGCCTAGACAAGAGTTACATGAGATGTGTGATCGTGCATTTACATGTCACAATGTCCCTGTAGCCATATCCTTGACAAAAGTGACATCACCTGGGTGATCAGTGCAGAGATATGTCACAATGTCTCCAGTAGGCAGAGCCTAGACAAGAGTTACATCACCTGGGTGATCAGGGCAGAGATATGTCACAATGCCCCCTATAAGCAGATCCAAGACAAGAGTTGCATCACCTCGGTGATCAGTGCACAGATATGTCTCAATGCCCCTGTCGTCGAAGCCTATACAAGAGTTACATCATCTCTGTGATCAGTGCAGTGATATGTGAAAATGCCCCTGTAGGCAGAGCCTAGACAAGAGTTACATCACCTGGGTGATCAGTGCAGGGATATCACACAATAGCCCCTGTAGGCAGAGCCTAGACAAGAGTTACATCACCTGGGTGATCAGTGCAGAGATATGACATAAATCCCACTGTAGGAAAAGCCTAGACAAATTTTATGTCACCTCAGAGATCAGTGCAGAGATATGTCCCAATATGCCTATAGGCAGAGCTTAGACAAGAGTCACATCTCCTGGGTGATCAGTGCAGACATAAGTCACAGTGTTCCCATAGGCAGATCCTAGACAAGAGTTACATAACCCAGGTGACCCGTGCAGAGTGATGTCACAACGCCCTCTGTAGGCAGAGAATAGAAAATAGGTACATCACCTGGGTGATCAGTGTAGAGATATGTCACCATGTCCCCTGTAGGCAGAGCATAGAGAAGAGTTGCATCACCTGGGTGATAACTGCAGAGTTATGTCACAATGTCCCCTGTAGGCAAAGCCTAGGCAAGAGTTACATCACCTTGGTCATCAATTCAGGGATATGTGAAAAAGCCCCTGTAGGCAGAGCCTAGGCAAGTCTTACATTACCTAGTTTATCAGTGCAGAGATATTTCAGAATACCCCCTGTAGGCATATCCTAGACAAGAGTTGAATCACCTGGGTGATCAGTGCAGAGATATGTCACAAAGCACCCTGTAGGCAGATCCTAGAAAAGAGTTACATCACCAAGGTGATCAGTGGGGAGATTTGTCAAAATTCCCTGTAGGCAGTGCTTATAAAAGTGTTACATCACCGAAGAGATCCGTGCAGAGATATGGCACAAAGCTCCTGTTGGCAAACGTAGATGTGTTACATCACCTGAGTGATCAGTGCAAAGGTATGTCACAAAGCCCTCTGTAGGCAAACCCTAGAAAATGCTTACATCACCTGAGTGATCAGAGCAGAGACCTGTCACAATGCCCCTTTAGGCAGAGCTTAGACCAGTGTTACATCACCTGCGTTATCAGTGCAGATATATGTCACAATGCCCCCATAGGCAAATCCAAGAAAACAATCCGTCACCTGGTTGATCAGTGCAGAGATATGTCACAATACCCCCTGTAGGTGGAGCCTAGAAAAGAGTTACATCACCTGGGTTATCAGTACAGAAATATGTCACAAAGCCCCTGTAGTCAGAGCCTAAGCAAGAGTTACATCACCTGGGTGATCAATGCAGAAATATGTCACAAATCCCCTGTAGGCCAAGCCTAGTCAAGTGTTACATCTCCTGGGTGATCAGTGCAGAGATGTGTCAAAAGCCCCTGTAGCCAGAGCCTAGACAAGAGTTACATCAGCTGTGTGATCAGTGCAGTGACATGTCACAATGTCCCTGTAGCCATATCCTTGGCAAAAGTGACATAACGTGGGTGATGAGTGCGGAGATATGTCACAATGTCTCCAATAGGCAGAGCCTAGATAAGAGTTACATCACCTGGGTGATCAGGGCAGAGATATGTCAAAATGCCCCACGTAAGCAGATCCCAGACAAGAGTTGCATCACCTCGGTGATCAGTGCAGAGATATGTCTCAATGACCCCTGTTGCCGAAGCCTATATAAGAGTTACATCACCTCGGTGATCAGTGCAGTGATATGTTAAAATGCCCCTGTAGGGAGAGGCTAGACAAGAGTTACATCACCTGGGTGATCAGTGCAGAGATATCTCACAATAACCCCTGTAAGCAGAGCCCAGACAAGACTTACATCACCTGGGTGACCAATGCAGAGATATGTCATAAAACCCACTGTAGGCAAAGCCTAGACAAGTTTTACATCACCCCAGCGATCAGTGCAGAGATATGTCCCAATGTCCCTCTAGGCAGAGCTTAGACAAGAGTCACATCTCCTGGGTGATCAGTGCAGAGATAAGTCACAATGCCCCTGTACGCAGAGCCTAGACAAGAGTTACATAACACGGGTGATCCGTGCAGAGTGATGTCACAACGCCCTCTGTAGGCAGACACTAGAAAAGAGTTACATCACCTGGGTGATCCGGGCACAGATATGTCACAATTCCCCCTGTAGGTAGAGCATAGAGAAGAGTTGCATCACCTGGCTGATCAGTGCAGGGATGTGTCACAATGTCCCCTGTAGTCAGAGCATAGAGAAGAGTTGCATCACCTGGGTGATCAGTGCAAAGATATGTCGCAATGTCCCCTGTAGGCAGAGCATAGAGAAGAGATGCATCACCTGGGTGATCATTGCAGAGATATGTCACAATGTCCCCTGTAGGCAAAGCCTAGACAATAGTTACAACACTTGGGTGTTCAGTAGAGAGATCTCTCAGAATTTCCCTGTAGGCAGAGCTCATACAACAGTTACATCTCCTGTGTGATCAGTGCAGAGATATGTCACAATGCCCCCATAGGCAGATCCAAGACAAGAGTCCATCACCTGGTTGCTCTGTGCAGAAATATGTCACAATGCCCCCTTAGGCAGAGCCTAGACAAAAGCCTCATCACCTGGATGATCAGTGCAGAGTTATGTCACAAAGTCCCTTTAGGCAGATCCTAGATAAGAGTTACATCACTTGGATGATCAGTACAGAGACATGTCACAATGCCACTGTAGGCAGAGCCTAGACAAGGGTTACATGACCTAGGTGATCAGTGCAGAGATACATCGCAATGTCCCTGTAGGCAGAACCTTGACAAGTGGTACATCACCTGGGTGATCATTGCAGGGATATGTCACAAAGCACCCTGTACGCAGATCCTAGAAAAGAGTTACATCACCTGGGTGATCAGTGCAGAGATATGTCACAATGCCACTGTAGGCATAGCCTAGACAAGAGTTACATGACCTAGGTGATCAGTGTAGAGATACATCCCAATGTCCCTGTAGGCAGAGCCCTTACAAGCGGTATATCACCTGGGTGATCATTGCAGGGATATGTCACAAAGCACCCTGTAGGCAGATCCTAGAAGAGAGATATATCACCTGGGTGATCAGTGCAGAGATATGTCACAATGCCGTGTAGCCAGAACCTAGACTAAAGTTACAGTACCTGGGAGATCAGTGCAGAGATATGTCACAATGTCCCCAGTAGACAGAGACCAGGCAAGAGTTGGATCACCTCGGGATCAGTGCAGAGATATGTCTCAATCCTCCTGTGGGCACAGCGTAGACAAGTTACATCACCTCGGTTAACAGTGCAGAGATATGTCAAAATGCCCTGTAGGCAGAGCCTACACAAGAGTTACATCACTTAGGTGATCAGTGCAGAGATATGTCACAATATCCCCTGTAAGCAGAGCCTAGACAAGTGTTACATCACCTGGGTGATCAGTGTAGACATATGTGACAAGGCCCCTTTAAGCAGAGCCTAGAAAATACTTACATCAGCTGAGTGATCAGTGCAGAGATCTGTCACAATGCCCCTTAAGGCAGAGCTTAGACCAGACTTATATCACCTGGGTGATCAGTGCAGAGACATGTCACAATGCCTCCTTAGGCAAATCCAAGACAAGAGCCTGTCACCTGGCTGATCAGTGCAGAAATATGTGACAATGCCCCAAGTAGGCAGAGCCTAGAGAAGAGTCCCATCACCTGGGTGATCAGTGCTCTGATATTTCACAATGCCCCTGCAGGGAGAGCATAAGCAATAGTTACATCACCAAGATGATCAGTGCAGAGATATGTCACAAGGCCCCCTATAGGCAGAGTTTGGACAAGAGTTACATCACCTTGGTGATCAATGCAGTGATATGTCACTATGCCCTGTAGGCAGAGCCTAGTCATGCTTTACTTCGCCTGGGTGATCAGTGCAGAGATATGTCACAAAGCCCCATACGCAGAGCCTAGACAAGGGTCCCTTCATCTGGGTGATCAGTGCAGAAATATGTCACAATGTCCCCATAGGCTGATCCAACACAAGAGTTACATCACCTGGTTGATCAGTGTAGAGATATCTCACAATGCACCCATAGGCAGAGTCTAGACAAAAGTCCCATCACCTGGGTGATCAGTGCACAGATATGTCACAAAGCACCTGTAGGCAGAGCCTAGACAACTGTTACATCACTTTGTTGATGAGTTCAGAGATGTTTCATGCTGAATGTTTGCTCCCGGAGCTCTGCGGTCACCCGGAAACATGCAGGGAAGGGTGGAAGACTGGCATGGTGCCTTTGCTCTCCTTGCCAGTTTCCAAACCGGCCACACTGCAGACTCCCCATATTGCCGCACACGGGAATCCAATGTCAGGCCATCACGCCGGGGAGGCATCTTCTCTCTGGGTTCTCGCTCTGGTCTTCTACGTGAAAATGAATGAGAGCAACACGGCTGCGTGTGTGAGATTGTCCCGGCAACAGCGACACCCACAGGCACTGCCTCCTTCACGGAGAGGGCCTGGAACACTCAAGACTCCCACGGAGGTTCAGTTCCACACTCCCCTCCACCCTCCCAGGCCGGCTTCTCCCTGCTGAAGACGCGTGGGAGCCCAGAGAGTGGCTTCCAGTTCCCACGGGATTCCTTGAGAGGTCCGAAGAGCCAGCTCCCAAAACGCACCCTCCTCACCCCTTCCCCCTCGCCCCCTTCCTCTTCATATCTCCTGCCCCACCACCCCCATCACCACGCCCTCCCTCCCACCTCACCAGCCACCGGCCACAGGCCTCGGCGCCCTGGTACCCTTCCAGGATGTGGCGTGCTGTCCCAGGGCTCACCGCCATTCATGAAGGGGTGGAGCCTGCCTGCCTGTGGGCCTTTATAGGAGCCGCTGGCTGGCTGTCCTGGCAGGCCTCCTGGCTCCACCTGCGGCAGTGCACAGGCTGGCTGAGTTGCACGGGAGCCCACCGGCCTCTCTCTGCCCGTGTCCGTTCCTGAATTTCCGGACGGGGCTCCCCGCGATGACCCTCCCGACACCTTCGGACGGCACCCTCCCTGCGGAAGCCCAGGGACGGGGACGGCGAAAGAGACTCGTTTGCACCCCGAGCCAAAGTGAGGCCCTGTGAGCCTGCTTTGAGTGGAACCCGTACCCGGGCATCGCCACCAGAGAATGGCTGGCCCAGGCCATCGGGATTCCGGAGCCCAGGGTCCAGATCTGGTTTCAGAAAGAGAGGTCACGCCAGCTGAGGGAGCACCAGTGGGAATCTCGGCCCTGGACCGGGAGATGCGGCCCGCAAGAAGGCAGGCAAAAGCGGACCGCCATCACTGGGTCCCAGACCGCCCTGCGCCTCAGAGCCTTTGAGTAGGATTCCTTTCCAGGCATCGCCGCCAGGGAAGAGCTGGCCAGAGAGACGGGCCTCCCGGAGTCCAGGATTCAGATCTGGTTTCAGAATCAAAGAGCCAGGCACCCGGGGAAGGCTGGCAGGGTACACGTGTAGGCAGGCGGCCGGTGTATCGCGGTCCCTGGCGGGTGTCTCCCTTTTCCCTCGTGGGTCGCCATCGCCAACACCGGCACTTGGGGAATGGGGCTTCCTGCACCACACGTGCCCTGCATGCCTGGGGCTCTCCCACAGGGGGCTTTCGTGAGCCATGAACCGAGGGCCGACCCCGTGCTCCAGCCCAGCCAGGCTGCACCGGCAGAGGGGATCTCCCAACCTGCCCTGGCACGCAGGGATTTTGCCTACGCTGCCCCGGCTCTTCCAGAAGCGGCACTCTCCCACCCTCAGGCTCCTCGGTGGCCTCCGCACCCGGGCAAAAGCTGGGAGGACTGGGATCTACAGCGCGATGGCCTGCCAGGCCCTTGCACGGTGGGACAGCCTGGGCCTGCTCTAGCGGGATGAAAGGGCCAAGGTGTGCTTGCACCACCCGCGTCCCAGGGGAGTCTGTGGCAGGGCTGGTGCCGGGGTCCCCAGGTCGCCGGGGCGGCGTGGGAACCACAAGCCGGGGCAGATCCACCTAGCCAGCCCGTGCTCCTGGAGGCCTCCACATGGCAGGGGCCGATGCAAGGCATCCCGACGCCTTCCCAGGTGCTCCAGGAGCTGGGGCGCTCCTCTGCACTCCCCTCCGTCCTGCTGATGGGTGAGCTCCTGGCGAGCCCGGATTTTCTGCAGCAGGGGTAACCTTTCCTAGAAACAGAGGCCCCGGTGGAACTGGAGGCCTTGGAAGAGGCCGCCTCTCTGGAAGCACCCCTCAGCGAGGAAGAATACCGGGCTCTGCAGGAAGAGATTTATCTCTCTGGGTTGGGACGGGGTCGGGTCGGGGCAGGGCGGTGGCCTCTGCTTAATGGGGAACAACTGGCTGGCTATGGAGGGGCGTGTCTTCCTCCCACCACCTCCACCGGGCTGACTGGCCTGAGATTCCTGCCTTCTAGGTCTAGGCCCGGTGAGACGCTCCACAATGGGGAGAACTGCTATTCTTTCCTAGGCATCCTGGGGACCACAGAGCCGGCCAAGGTACCAGCAAGTGGGCCGCCTACTGCGCACGTGCGGGTAGGCGGGCAGCCGCCTTTGCTGTGGGAACAGCCCAGGCAGAGCTCTCATGCCTTTCCACCACCCCACCCCCGCCTGACGATCCCCACCCCACCCCACCCCCAACCCTCAGAAAATGCGTCCTCCCCTGGGCTGGGTGAGACCCATGTCCTGTGAAACACCGGACCCGCACAGCGTCCGGGCCTGACACCCCTCCGGCGGCTGGCCTACTCTGCGCCCCCGCGATACCGTCAGCGGCCCGCCCGTGCCCCAGCAGCCTCCCAGCTGCCACCATGGAACGACTGGTGGCGGAACGCAAACCTCTAACTCTCTTTGCCGGCCTCCTGGCTAGACCTGCGCTCATTGTGCACCCCGGCTGACGTGCAAGGGAGCCCGCTGACCTCTCTGTGCCCCTGTCCGTCAGTGAAATTCTGGCTGAGGCTTTCCGGACACCTTCCGACTCTCTTTAGTCAAAGCCTGGAGAACAGTTACATCTCCTGGATGATTAGTTCAGAAATATGTCACAATTCCCCCTCCCTGCGGAGCCTAGAGAAGATTTGCATCATTTGGGTGATCAGTGCAGAGATATATCACAATGTCTCTTGCACAAAAAGCCTGGAAATGATTTACATCACCTCGGTGATCAGTGCATAGGTATGTGAGAAATCCCCAGTAGGATGAACCTAGAAAAGGTTTACATCACTTAGGTGATCAGTGTAGAGATAAGTGAAAATTCCTGTGTAGACAGAGCCTAGACAAGTGTTACATCACCTAGTGATCAGTGCAGGGGTAAGTACTAAAACCTCCTGTAGGCAGAGTGTAGATAAATGTTTCCTCCCTGGGATGATCAGTGCAGAGATATGTCACAAAGCCCCTGTAAGCAGAACCTTGACAAGGGTTACATCACCTGTTTGATCAGTGGAAATGTATATCACAAAGCCCCCTGTAGGCAAAGCCCAGACAATTGTTACATCACCTGGGTGAGCAGTGGAGAGAGCTGTCACAATGCCCCTGTAGGCAGAGCTTAGACAAGGGTTACATCACCTGGGTAATCAGTGCAGAGATACGTCAAAATAACTCTGCAAGGTGGAAACTACAGAACAGTTACATCACCTGGGTGATCAGTACAGAAATATATCACTAAGACCCAGTAGGCAAAGCCTAAACAAGAATTACATCTCCTTGGTGATCAGTGTAGAAATATGTCACAAAGCCCCTGCAGGCAGAGCCTAGACAAGAGTTACATCACCTGGGTGATCAGGGAAGAGATACTTCACAATACCCCCTGTAGGTTTAGCCTTGACAAGAGTTACATCACCTGGGTGATCAGTGCAGATATATGTCAAAATAACCCCTTTAGGTGGAGCCTAGAAAAGAGTTACATCACATGGGTGATCAGTGTAGAGATATGTCACAAAGCCCCTGTAGGCAGACCCTAACCAAGAGTTACATCTCCTGGGTGATCAGTGCAAAGATATGTCACAAAACCCCCTGTAGACAAATCCCAGAAAATTGTTCCATCACCTGGGTGATCACTGGAGATATCTGTCACAATTCCCCTTTAGGCGCAGCTTAGACAAGCGTTACATCACATGAGTGATCAGTGCAGAGATATGTAATTATGCCTCTATAGGCAGATCCAAGAAAAGAGTCCATCACCTGTGTGATCAATGCAGAAATATGCCACAATGCCGCCAGTACGCAGATATAGACAAGAGGTACATCACCTGCGTGATCACTGCAGAGATACGTCACAATGTCCCTGTAGGCAGAGCCTAGACAAGAGTCCCATCACATGGGTGATCAGTGAAGAGTTATGTCACAATGCCCCCTTTTGGCAGAGCCTTGACAAGGGATACATCACATGGGTGATCAGTGCAGAGATGTGTCACAAGCCCCCGTTAGCCAGAGCCTAGGCAACTGTTACATCAGCTGTGTATGCAGTGCAGTGACATGTCACAATGTCCCTGTAGCCATATCTTTGACAAAAGTGACATCACCTGGGTGATCTGTGTGGAGGTATGTCACAATGTCTCCAGTAGGCAGAGCCTAGACAAAAGTTACATCTCCTGGGTGATCAGTGCAGAGATAAGTCACAATGCCCCCGTAGGCAGAGCCTAGACAAGAGTTACATAACCAGGGTGATCAGTGCAGAGATATGTCACAATGCCCCTGTAGGCAGAGCATAGAGGAGAGTTGCATCACCAGGGTGATCAATGCAGATATATTTCACAATGTCTCCTGTAGGCAGAGCATAGAGAAGAGTTGCATCACGAGGGTGATCAGTGCAGAGATATGTCACAACGTCCCCTGTAGGCAAAGCATAGGCAAGACTCACATCAGCTGTGTCATCAGTTCAGGGATATGTGAAAACGCCCTTGTAGGCAGAGCCTAGACAAGAGTTACATCACCTAGTTGATCAGTGCAGAGATATTTCACAATACCCCCTGTAGGCAGATCCTAGACAAGAGTTGAATCACCTGGGTGATCAGTGCAGAGATATTTCACAATGCCCACTTTGGGCAGAGGGTAGAAAAGAGTTACATCACCTAGGTGATCATTGCAGAGACTTGTCAAATTTCCCTGTAGGCAGTGCCTAGAAATGTGTTACATCACCTAAGTGATCAGTGCAGAGATATGTCACAAAGCTCCTGTAGGCGGAACTTAGATGAGATACATCACCTGGGTGATCAGTGCAAAGGTATGTCATAAAGCCCCCTGTAGGCAAAGGCTAGACAATAGTTACATCACTTGGGTGATCAGTGGCGAGATCTCTTCCAATTCCCCTGTCTGCAGAGCTTATAAAACAGTTACATCACCTGGGTGATCAGAGCAGAGATGTGTCAGTGTCCCCATAGGCAGATCCAAGAGAAGAGTCCGTCACCTGGGTGATCAGTGGAGAAATTTGTCACAATGCCCCCTTAAGCAGATCCTAGACAAAGGCCCCATCACCTGGATTATCAGTGCAGAATTATATCACAAAATCCCTTTAGGCAGATCCTAGACAAGTGTTACTTCACTTGGATGATCAGTGCAGAGATATGTCACAATGCCACTGTAGGCAGAGCCTAGACAAGAGTTACAAGACCTAGGTGATCAGTGCAGAGATACATCGCAATTTCCCAGTAGGCAGAGCCTTGACAAGTGGTACATCACCTGGGTGATCATTTCAGGGATGTGCCACAAAGCACCCTGTAGGCAGATCTTGGAAAAGAGTTACATCACCTGGGTGATCAGTGTAGAGGTATATCACAATGCCACTGTAGGCAGAGCCTAGACAAGAGTTACCTGACCTAGGTGATCAGTGCAGAGATACATTGCAATGCCCCTGTAGGCAGAGCCTTGGCAAGTGATATATCACCTGGGTGATCATTGCAGGGATATGTCACAAAGCACCCTGTAGGCAGATCCTAGGGAAGAGTTATATCACCTGGGTGATCAGTGCAGAGATATGTCAAAAACCCCCTGTAGGCAAAGCCTAGACAAGAGTTATATAACCTGGGTGATCAGTGCAGAAATATGTCTCAAAGCCCCTGTAGGCAGAGCCTAGACAAGAGTTACATCTCCTGGGTGATCAGTGCAATGATATGTCATAAACCACCCTGTAGGCAAATCCGAGAAAATTGCTACATCACCTGGGTGATCAGTGGAGATGTCTGTCACAATTCCCCTTTAGGCTCATGTTAGAGAAGCGTTACACCACATGACTGATCAGTGCAGAGATACGTCACTATGCCCCCATAGGCAGATCCAAGACAAGAGTCCATCACCCGGGTGATCAGTGGAGAAATATGCCACAATGCCGCCAGTAGGCAGATATAGAAAAGAGTTACATCACCTGCGTGATCACTGCAGAGATATGTCACAATGCCCCTGTAGGCAGAGCCTAGACAAGAGTCCCATCACCTGGGTTATCAGTGCAGATTTATTTCACAGTGCCCCTTTTGGAAGAGCCTAGATAAGGGTTACATCACCTGGATGATCAGTGCAGAGATGTGTCACAAGCCCCCTGTAGCCAGAGCCTAGACAAGTGTTACATCAGCTGTGTGATCAGTGTAGTGACATGTCACAATGTCCCTGTGGCCATATCCTTGACAAAAGTGACATCACCTGGGTGATCTGTGTGGAGGTATGTCACAATGTCTCCAGTAGGCAGAGCCTAGACAAAAGTTACATCTCCTGGGTGATCAGTGCAGAGATAAGTCACAATGCCCTCGTAGGCAGAGCCTAGACAAGAGTTACATAACCAGGGTGATCAGTGCAGAGATATGTCACAATGCCCCCTGTAGGCAGAGCATAGAGGAGAGTTGCTTCACCAGGGTGATCAATGCAGATATATTTCACAATGTCTCCTGTAGGCAGAGCATAGAGAAGAGTTGCATCACGAGGGTGATCAGTGCAGAGATATGTCACAATGTCCCCTGTAGGCAGATCCCAGACAAGAGTTGCATCACCACTTTGATCAGTGCAGAGATATGTCTCAATGCCCCCTGTCGGCGAAGCCTATACAAGAGTTACATCATCTCGGTGATCAGTGCAGTGATATGTTAAAATGACCCTGTAGGCAGAGCCTAGACAAGAGTTACATCACCTGGATGATCAGTGCAGATATATGACACAATGCACCCATAGACAGAGCCTAGAGAAGACTTCCATCACCTTAGTGATCAGCGCAGAGATAACTCACAATACCCCCTGTAAGCAGAGCCTAGACAACTGTTACATCACCTGGGTGATCAGTGCAGAGATATTTCACAATGCCCCCTGTAAGCAGAGAGTGTACAAGAGTAACATAACCTAGGTGATCTGTGCAAAGCTATGTCAAACACCCCTGTAGGCAGATCCTAGATAAATATTACATCACCTGGCTGATCAGTGCAGAGATACGTCACAATACCCCCTGTAGGCGGGGCCTAGACAAGAGTTACATCACCTGGTTGATCAGTACAGAAATATGTCACAATGCCCCTGAAGGCCGATCCTAGACAAGAGTTACATCTGCTGGGTGATCAGTGCAAATATATGTCACAAAGGCCGTGTAGACAAATCCCAGAAAATTGTTACATCACCTGGGTTATCAGTGGAGATATCTGTCATAATTCCCTTTTAGGCACAGCTTAGACAAGCATTACATCACATGAGCGATCAGTGCAGAGATATGTCACTATGCCCCCATAGGCAGATCCAAGACAAGAGTCCATCACCAGGGTGATCAGTGCAGAAATATGACACAATGCCGCCAGTAGGCAGATATAGACATGAGTTACATCACCTGCGTGATCACTGAGTAGACACGTCACAATGCCTCTGTAGGCAGAGCCTGGACAAGAGTCCCATCAGCTGGGTGATCATTGCAGAGTTATGTCACAATGCCTCCTTTTGGCAGAGCCTAGACAAGGTTTACATCACCTGGGTGATCAGTGCATAGATGTGTCACAAGCTCCGTGTTGCCAGAGCCTAGACAAGTGTTACATCAGCTATGTGATCAGTGCAGTGACATGTCACAATCTCCCTGTAGCCATATCCTTGACAAAAGTGACATCACCTGGGTTATCAGTGCGGAGATATATCACAATGTCTCCAGTAGGCAGAGCATAGACAAGAGATACATCACCTCGGTGATCAGTGAAGAGATATGTCTCAATGTCCCCTGTAGGCAAAGCCTATACAAGAGTTACATTATCTCCATGATCAGTACAGTGATATGTGAAAATGCCCCTGTAGGCAGAGCCTAGACCAGGGTTACATCGCCTGAGTGATCAGTGCAGATATATCTCACAATACCCCCTGTAAGCAGAGCCTAGACAAGAGTTACATCACCTGGGTGATCAGTGCAGAGATATGTCATAAATCCCACTGTAAGCAAAGCCTAGACAAGTTTTACATCACCTCAGAGATCAGTGCAGTGACATGTCCCAATGTCCCTCTAGGCAGAGCTTAGACAAGTGTCACATCTCCTGCGTGATCAGTGCAGAGATAAGTCACAATGCCCCCATAGGCAGAGCCTAGACAAGAGTTACATCACCTTTGTCATCAATTCAGGGATATGTGAAAACACCCCTGCAGGCAGAGCCTAGACAAGAGTTACATCACCAAGTTGATCAGTGCAGAGGTATTTCACAATACCCCCTGTAGGCAGATCCTAGACAAGAGTGGAATCACCTGGGTGATTAGTGCAGCGATATATCACAATGCCCCCTGTAGGCAGAGCATAGAAAAGAGTTGCATCACCTGGGTGATCAGTTCAGAGATATGTCACAATGTCCCCTGTAGGCACAGCATAGAGAAGAGTTGCATCACCTGGGTGATCAGTGCAGAGATATGTCACAATGTACCCTGTAGTCAGAGCCTAGACAAGAGTTACATCACCTAGTTGATCAGTGCAGAGATATTTCACATTACCCCTTGTAGGCAGAACCTAGACAAGAGTTGAATCACCTGGGTGATCAGTGCAGAGATATTTCCCAGTGCCCCCTTTGGGCAGTGGGTAGACAAGGTTTACGTCACCTAGGTGATCAGTGCAGAGATTTGTCAAAATTCCCTGTAGGCAGTGCTTATAAAAGTGTGAAATCACCTAAGTGATCAGTGCAGAGATATGTCACTAAGCTCCTGTAGGCAGGACTTAGATGAGTTACATCACCTGGATTATCAGTGCAAAGGTATGTCATTGTAGGCAAAGCCTAGACAATAGTTTCATCACTTGGGTGATCAGTGGCGAGATCTCTCACAATTCCCCTGTAGGCACAGCTTATACAGCAGTTATATCACCTGGGTGATCAGTGCAGAGGTATGTCACAATGCCCCCATAGGCAGATCCAAGACAAGAGTCCGTCACCTGGGTGATCAGTGCAGAAATATGTCACAATGCCCCCTTAGGCAGATCGTAGACAAATGCTCCATCACCTGGATGATCAGTGCAGAGTTATGTCACAAAGTCCCTTTAGGCGGATCCTAGATAATTGTTACATCACCTGGGTGATCAGTGCAAAGATATGTCAAAATGCCACGGTAGGCAGAGCCTAGAAAAGAGTTACATGACCTAGGTGATCAGTGCAGAGATACATCACAATGTCTCTGTAGGCTGAGTCTTGACAAGTGGTACATCACCTGGGTGATCATTGCAGGGATATGTCACAAAGCACCCTGTAGGCAGATCCTAGAAAAGAGTTACATCACCTGGTTGATCAGTGCAGAGATATGTCACAATGCCACTGTAGGCAGAGCCTAGACAGGAGTTACATGACCTAGATGATCACTGCAGAGATACATTGCAATACCCCTCTAGGCAGAGCCTTGACAAGTGGTATATCACCTGGGTGATCATTGCAGGTATATGTCACAAATCACCATGTAGGCAGATCCTAGAGAAGAGTTATATCATCTGGGTTATCATTGCAGAGATATGTCACAATCCCCCTGTAGGTAGAGCCTAGACAAGAGTTATATCATCTGGGTGATCAGTGCAGTGATATGTCACAATGCCTTGTAGCCAGAGACTAGATTAAAGTTACAGAACCTGGGAGATCAGTGCAGAGATATGTCACAATGTCCCCAGTAGGCAGAGACCACGCAAGACTTCGATCACCTCGCGATCATTGCAGAGATATGTCTCAATCCCCCTGTGGGCACAGCCTAGACAAGTGTTACATCACCTCGGTTAACAGTGCAGAGATATGTCAAGGTGCCCCTGTAGGCAGAGCCTACACAACTGTTACATCACTTAGGTGATCAGTGCAGAGATATGTCACAATACCACCTGTAAGCAGATCCTAGGCAAGAGTTACATCTCCTGGATGATCAGTGCAGAGATATGTGACAAGGCCCTTTTAAGCAGAGCCTAGACAATAGTTACATCACCTGAGTGATCAGTGCAGAGATATGTCACAATGTGCCCTGTAGGCAAAGTCTAGGCATGAGTTACATCACCTTTGTCATCAGTTCAGGGGTATGTGAAAACGCCCCTGTAGGCAGAGCCTAGCAAGGGTAACATCACCTAGTTGATCAGTGCAGAGATATTTCACAATACCCCCTGTAGGCAGATCCTAGACAAGAGTTGAATGACCTGGGTGATCAGTGCAGTGATATGTCACAAAGCCCTTGTAGGTAGAACCTAGACAAGAGTTACATCACTTTGTTGATCAGTTCAGAGATGTGTCATGCTGACTGTTTGCTCCCGGAGCTCTGCAGGCCCCCGGAAACATGCAGGGAAGGGTGGAAGACTGGTATGGTGCCTTCGCTCTCTTGCCAGTTTCCAAACCGGCCACACTGCAGACTTCCCATGTTGCCGCACACAGGAATCCATCGTCAGGCCATCACGCCGTGGAGGCATCTTCTCTCTGGGGTCTGGCTCTGGTCTCCTACGTGGAAATGAACGAGAGCCAAACGCCTGCCTTTGTGAGACTGCGCTGGCAATGGCGACACCCACAGGCACTGCCTCCTTCACGGAGAGAGGGCCTGGAACACTCAAGACTCCCATGGATATTCAGTTCTACACTCCCCTCCACCCTCGCAGGCCGGTTTCTCCCTGCTGAAGACGCATGGGAGCCCAGAGAGTGGCTTCCAGTTCCCTCGGGATTCCTGGAGCAGTCCTAAGAGCCAGCGCCTGAAACGCCCCCGCCCCACACCTTCCCCCTCTCCCACTTCCTCTTCGTGTCTCCGGCCCCACCACGGCCATCACCACGCCCTCCCACCCCACTCCACCACACCCCTGCCACAGGACTCGAGGCCCTGGGATCCTTCCGTGGTGGGGCGGGCTGTCCGAGGGCTCACAACCATTCGTGAAGGGATGGAGCCTACCTGCCTTCGGGCCTTTATAAGAGCCGCTGGCTGGCTGTCCGTGCAGGCCTCCTGGCTGCACCTGCCACAGTGCACAGGCCAGCTGAGTTGCACGGGTGCCCGCCGGCCTCTCTCTGCCAGTGTCCGTCTGTGAAATTCCGGCTGGGGCTCCCCGCGATGGCCCTCCCGACACCTTCAGAAAGCACCCTCCCCGCAGAAGCCCGGGGACGGGGACGGCGAAGGTGATTCCTTTGGACCCCGACCCAAAGCGAGGCCATGTGAGCCTGCTTTGAATGGAACCTGTACCCCAGCATCGCCACCAGAGAATGACTGGCCCAGGCCATCGGCATTCCGGAGCCCAGGGTCCAGATTTGGTTTCAGAATGAGAGGTCACGCCAGCTACTTCAGCACCAGCGGGAATCTCGGCCCTGGCCTGGGAGACGCGGCCAGCAAGAAGGCAGGCGAAAGCGGGTCGCCGTTACCGGATCCCAGAACACCCTGCTCCTCCGAGCCTTTGAGAAAGATCGTTTTCCAGGAATCGCCGACAGGGAAGAGCTGGCCAGAGACACGGGCCTCCCGGAGTCCAGGATTCAGATCTGGTTTCAGAATCGAAGGCCCAGGCACCCGGGACAGGCTGGCAGGGCGTCCGCGCAGGCAGGCTTCCTTAACAAAGCGGCCCCCAATGGGTGTCACCCTGCTCCCTCGTGGGTCGCCGTTGCCCTCACCGCCACGTGGGGAATGAGGCTTCCCTCAACCCACGTGCCCTGCGCGCCTGGGGCTCTCCCTCAGGGGGCTTTCGTGGGCCAGGGAGCGAGGGCCGTCCCCGAGCTCCAGCCCAGCCAGGCCGCGCCGGCAGAGGGTATCTCCCAACCTGCCCCGGCATGCAGGGATTTTGGCTATGCCACCCCGGCTCCTCCGGAAGGGGCGCTCTCCCACCCTGAGGCTCCTCGGTGGCCTCCGCACCCGGGCAAAAGCCGGGAGAACCGGGTCCCGCAGCGCGACGGCCTTCCGGGCCCTTGCCCAGTGGGACAGCCTGGGACCTCTCAAGCAGGGCCACAGGGCCAAGGAGTGCTTGCACCACCCGCGTCCCAGGGGAGTCCATGGTGGGGCTGGGGCCGGGGTCCCCAGGTCGCAGGGGAGCCGTGGGAGCACCAAGCCGGGGCAGCTCCACCTCCCCAGCCCACGACCCCGGAGGCATCCATGTGGCAGGGGCAGATGCAAGGCATCCCGGCGCCCTCCCAGGTGCTCCAGGAGCCGGGGCGCTCTTCTGCACTCCCCTCCGGCCTGCTGCTGGATGAGCTCCTGGCGAGCCCGGAGTTTCTGCAGCAGGCACAACCTTTCCTAGAAACGGAGGACCCGCGGGAGCTGGAGGCCTTGGAGGAGGCCGCCTCGCTGGAAGCACCCCTCAGCGAGGAAGAATACTGGGTTCTGCTAGAGGAGCTTTAGGACGCGGGGTTGGGAAGGGGTCGGGTCGGGGCAGGGCGGTGGCCTGTGTTTCCCGGGGAACACCTGGCTGGCTATGGAGGGACGTGTCTTCCCCCCGCCCCATCCACCAGGCTGACCGGCCTGGGATTCCTGCCTTCTAGGTCTAGGCCTGGTGAGAGGCTCCACCCAGCGGAGAACTGCCATTCTTTCCTGGGCATCCCGGGGATCCCAGAGCCAGTCCAGATACCAGCAGGTTGGCCGCCTACTGTGCACGCGAGGGATTGCGGGCAGTCGCCTGGGCTGTGGGAGCAGCCCAGGCAGTGCTCTCATGCCTTTCCACCACCCCACCCCGCCTGATCACCCCCTCCCCACACCCACACTCCAGCCCAGGAAAATGCATCCCCCCCTGGGCTGGGTGGAGACCCCCGTCCCGTGAAACACCGGTACCGCGCAGCCTCCAGGCCTCACACCCCTCCGGCGGCTTGCCGCCTCTGCGGCTCCGCGCCACCGTCGCTGTCGCGCCCGTGCTTCTGCAGCCTCCCAGCTGCCACCATGGACCACCTGGCGGCAGAAACCAGACCTCTAGCTCTCTTTGACAGCCTCCTGGCTAGACCTGCGCTCATTGAGCACCCTGGCTGACGTGCAAGGGAGGTCTCAGTTCTCTCTGTGCCCTTGTCGGTCCGTGAAATTCCCGCTGAGGTTCTCCCAACACCTTCCAACGCTGTTTAGTCAAAGCCTGGAGAATAGTTATATCTCCTGGACGATCAGTTCAGAAATATGTCACAATGCTCCTCCCTGCGGAGCCTAGAGATTTGCATCATTTGGGTGATCAGTGGAGAGATATATCACAATGTCTGCTGTACAATAAACCTGGAAATGATTTACATCACCTCGGTGATCAGTGCATAGGTATGTCAGAAATCCCCAGCAGCCTGAACCTAGACAAGGGTTACATCACTTAGATGATCAGTGTAGAGATATGTGAAAATTCCCGTGTAGACAGACCCTAGACAAGTGTTACATCACCTAGTGATCAGTGCAGGGATAAGTCATAAATCCTTCTATAGGCAGGGTTTAGAAAACTGTTTCCTCCCTGGGGTGATCGGTGCAGAGTAATGTCACAAAGCCCCTGTAAGCAGAACCTTGACAAAGGTTACATCACCTGTTTGATCAGTGGAAATGTATATCACAAAGCCCCCTGTAGGCAAAGCCCAGACAATTATTACATCACCTGGGTGAACAGTGGAGAGACGTTTCACAATAGCCCTGTAGGCATAGCTTAGACAAGGGTTACATCACCTGGGTGATCAGTGTAGAGATATGTCAAAATGCTCCTGTAGGCTGAACCTAGACAGGAGTTACATCACCCAGGTGATCAGTGAAGAGATATGAGAGAATTCCCGTTTAGGCAGAGTCTAGACAACCGTTACATCACCTATGTTATCAGTGCAGGTATAAGTCATAAGGCCTCCTGTGGGCAGAGCGTAGATAAGAGTTTCCTCCCAAGGGAGATCAGTGCAGAGATGTGTCACAAAGCCCCGGTAGGCAGAGCCTAGACAAGAGTTTCATCACTTGGTTGATCAGTTCAGAGATGTGTCACAACTTCCATGTAGGCAGATCTAAGACAAGAGTCAATCACCTGGGTGATCAGTGCAGAGATATGTACCAATGTCCCCTGTAGGCAATGCCTAGACAAGAGTTGCATCACCTTAGAGATCAGTGCATAGATATGTCACAAAGCCTTCTGTACGCAAAGCCCATACAAGGCTTACATCACCAAGTGATCAGTGCAGTGGTATGTCACAAAAATCCCTGTACACAGAGCCTAGAAAAGAGTTACATCGCCTGGGTGATCAGTGCAGAGATATCTCACAATACCCCCTGTAAGCACAGCCTAGACAAGAGTTACATCACCTGGGTGATCAGCGCAGAGATATGTCATAAATCCCACTGTAGGCAAAGCCTAGACAAGTTTTAAATCACCACAGCGATCAGTGCAGAGATATGTCCCAATGTCCCTCTGGGCAGAGCTTAGACAAGAGTCACATCTCCTGGGTGATCAGTGCAGTGATAAGTCACAAAGCGCCTATAGGCAGAGCCTAGACAAGAGTTACATAACCCGGGTGATCCGTGCAGAGTGATTCACAACGCCCGCCATAGGCAGAGACTAGAAAAGGGTTACAACACCTGGGTGATCAGTGCAGAGATATGTCACAATACCCCCTGTAGGAAGGGCATAGAGAAGCGTTGCATCACCTGGGTGATAAGTGCAGAGTTATGTCACAATTTCCCCTGTAGGCAGACCATAGAGAATAGTTGCATCACCTGGGGGATCAGTGCAGAGATATGTCACAGTGTCCCCTGTAGGCAAAGCCTAGGCACGAGTTACATCACCTGTGTCATCAGTTCAGGGATATGTGTAAACTCCCCTGTAGACAGAGGTTGACAAGTGTTACATCACCTAGCTGATCAGTGCATTGATATTTCACAATACCCCCTGTAGGCAGATCGTAGACAAGAGTTGAATCACCTGGGTGATCCGTGCAGAGATATTTCACAATTCCCCATTTGGGCAGAGTGTAGACAAGAGTTTCATCACCTAGGTGATCAGTGCAGAGATTTGTCAAAACTCCCTGGAGGCAGTGCTTATAATAGTGTTACATCCCCTAAGTCATCAGTGCAGAAATATGTCGCAAAGCTCCTGTAGGCAGAACTTAGATGAGTTACATCACCTGGGTGATCAGTGAAAATGTATGTCTCAAAGCCCCCTGTAGGCAAAGCCTAGACAATAGATACATCAGTTGGGTGATCAGTGGCGAGATGTCTCACAATTCCCCTGTTAGCAGAGTTTATACAACAGTTACATCACCCGGGTGATCAATGCAGAGATATGTCACAATTCCCCCATAGGCAGATCCAAGAAAAGAGTCCGTCACCTGGGTGGTCAGTGCAAAAACATGTCACAATTCCCCCTTAGGCACAGCCTAGACAAAAGCCCCATCACCTGGATGATCAGTGCAGAGTTATGTCACAAAGACCCTTTAGGCAGATCATAGACAAATGTTACATCACTTGGATGATCAGTGCATAGATATGTCACAATGCCACTCTAGGCAGAGCCAAGAAAAGGGTTACATGACCTAGGTGATCAGTTCAGAGATACATCGCAATGTCATTGTAGGCAGAGCCTTGACAACTGGTACATCACCTGGGTGATCATTGCAGGGATATGTCACAAAGCACCCTGTAGGCAGATCCTAGAAAAGAGTTACATCACCTGGGTGATCAGTGCAGAGATATGTCACAATGCCACTGTAGGGAAAGCCCAGACAAGAGTTACATTACCTAGGTGGTTGTTGCAGAGATACATCGCAATGCCTCTGTAGGCTGAGCCTTGACAACTGGTATGTCACCTGGGTGATCATTGAAGGGATATGTCACAAAGCACCCTGTAGGCAGATCCTAGAGAAGAGTTATATCACCTTGGTGATCAGTGCAGAGATATGTCACAATACCCCCTGTAGGTGGAGCCTAGACAACAGTTACATCACCTGGGTGATCAGTGCAGAGATATGTCACAAAGCCCCTGTAGGCAGAGCATAATCAAAAGTTACATCACCTGAGTGACTAGTGCAGAGATCTGTCACAATGCCCTCATAGGTAAATCCAAGACAAGAGTCCGTCATCTGGGTGATCAGTGCAGAAATATGCGACAATCCCCCAGTAGGCAGAGCCTGGGGAAGAGTCCCATCACCTGGGTGATCAATGCAGAGATATTTCACAATGCCCGAACAGGCAGAGCGTAAGCAAGAGTTACATCACCTAGATGATCAGGGCAGAGATATGTCACAAGGCCCCAGTAGGCAGAGCCTGGGCAAGAGGTATATCAACTGGGTGATCAGTGGAGTGATATGTCACAATGCCGTGTAGACAGAGCCTAGACTAAAGTTACAGCACCTGGGAGATCAGTGCAGAGATATGTCACAATGTCCCCAGTAGGCAGAGACCAGGCAAGAGTTGGATCACCTCGGGATCAGTGCTGAGACATGTCTCAATACCCCTGTGGGCACAGCCTAGACAAGAGTTACATCACCTCGGTTAACAGTGCAGAGATTTGTCAAAATGCCCCTGTAGGCAGAGCTTAGTCCCGAGTTACATCACTTGGGTGATCAGTGCAGAGATATGTCACAATGCCCCCATAGGCAAATCCAAGACAAGGGTCCGTCACCTGGGTGATCAGTGCGGAAATATGTGACAATGCCCCCAGTAGGCAGAGCCTAGAGAAGAGTCCCATCACCTGGGTGATCAGTGCAGAGATATTTCACAATGCCCCTGCAGGCAGAGTGTAAGCAAGTGTTACGTCACCTAGGTGATCAGTGCAGAGATATGTCACAAGGCCCCTTATAGGCAGAGCCTGGACAAGAGTTACATCACCTTAGTAATCAATGCAGTGATATGTCACTATGCCCCGTAGGCAGAGCCTAGTCAAGCGTTACATCACCTGGGTGATCAGTGCAGAGTTATGTCAAAAGGACCCATACACAGAGCCTAGATAAGAGACCCATCACCTGGGTGATCAGTGCAGAAATATGTCACAATGCCCCCATAAACAGATCCAACACAAGGGTTACATCACCTGGGTGATCAGTCTAGAGATATGTCACAATGCCCCCATAGGCAGAGCCTAGACAAAAGTCCCATCACCTGAGTGATCAGTGCACAGCTATGTCACAAAGCCCCTTTAGGCAGAGCCTAGAAAAGAGTTACATCACTTTGTTGATCAGTTCAGAGATGTGTCATGCTGACTGTTTGCTCCCGGAGCTCTGCGGGCACCCGGAAACATGCAGGGAAGGGTGGAAGACCAGCATGGTGCATTCGCTCTCCTTCCCAGTTTCTAAACCGGCCACACTGCAGACTCCCCATGTTGCTGCACACGGTAGTCCATCGTCAGGCCATCACGCCGGGGAGGCATCTTCTCTCTGGGGTCTCGCTCTGGTCTCCTACGTGTTGATGAATGAGAGCCACATGCCTGCGCGTGTGAGGCTGTCCCGGCAACGGCCACACCCACAGGCACTGCCTCCTTCACGGAGAGAGGGCATGGAACACTCCAGACTCCCACGGAGGTTGAGTTCCACACTCCCTCTACCCACCCAGTCCCGTTTCTCCCTGCTGAAGATGCGTGGGAGCCCAGAGAGTGGCTTCCAGTTCCCACGGCATTCCTGGAGAGGTCCGGAGAGCCAGCCCCAGAAACGCGCCCCCTCACCCCTTCCCCCTCGCCCCCTTCCTCTTAGGCTCTCCAGCCTGATCGCCACCATCACCACACCCTCTCCCCCCACCACACCACCAGCAGGCCTCGGCTCTCTGCGACCCTTCCAGGGTGGGCGGTCTGTCCCAGGACTCACCGCCATTCATCAAGGGGTGGAGCATGCCTGCCTGCAGGCCTTTATCAGAGCGTCTGGCTGGCTGTCAGGGCAGGCCTCCTGGCTGCTCCTGCCGCAATGCACAGGCCGGCTGAGGTGCACGGAGCACGGCGGCTTCTCTCTGCCCGTGTCCGTCCGTGAAATTCTGACCGGGGCTCCCCGCTATTGCCCTCCTGACACCTTCTGACAGCACCCTCCCCACGGAAGCCCGGGGACGGGGATGGCGAAGGAGACTCGTTTGGACCCCGAGGCAAAGCGAGGCCCTGGGAGCCTGCTTTGAGCGGAACCCATACCCGGGCATCGCCACCAGAGAACGGCTGGCCCAGGCCTTCGGCATTCTGGAGCCCAAGGTCCAGATTTGATTTCAGAATGAGAGGTCACTCCAGCTGAGGCAGCAACAGCGGGAATCTTGGCCCTGGCCCGGGAGACGGGGCCCACAAGAAGGCAGGCGAAAGCAGACCGCCTTCACCGGATCCCAGACCACCCTGCTCCTCCGAGCATTTGAGAAGGATCGCTTTCCAGGCATTGCCGCCAGGGAAGAGCTGGCCAGCTGGAGGGTCCCCCTGGAGTCCAGGATTCAGATCTGGCTTCAGAATCGAAGGGCAAGGCACCCGGGACAGGCTGGCAGGGCGCCCGCACAGGCAGGCAGTCGGGGCAACGCGGCCCCGGCGGGTGTCACCCTCCTCCCTCGTGGGTCGCCTTCGCCCACACTGGCTCGTGGGGAACGGGGCTTCCCGCAACCCATGTGCCCTGCGCACCTGGTGCTCTCCCACAGGGGGCTTTCGTGAGCTAGGGAGCGAGGGCGGTCCCTGTGCTCCAGCCCAGCAAGGCCGCACCAGCAGAGGGGATCCCCCAACACTGTCCCGGTACACGGGGATTTTGCCTATGTCACCCCGGCTCCTCCGGAAGGGGCACTCTCACACCCTCAGGCTCCTCAGTGGCCTCCGCACCTGGGCAAAAGCCGGGAGGATCGGGGCCCACAGCACGACGGCCTGCCGGGCCCTGCGCGGAGGAACAGCCTGGTCCCGTTCAAGCGGGGCCACAGGGTCAAGGTGTGCTTGCACCACCCACGTCCCAGTGGAGTCCGTGGTGCGGCTGGGGCCGGGGTACCCAGGTCGCCGTGGCGGAGTGGGATCCCCAACCTGGGGCAGCTCCACCTCGCCAGGCCGCACCCCTGGAGGCCTCCAAGTGGCTGGGGCAGATGCAAGACTTCCTGGCGCCCTCCCAGGCGCTACAGGAGCTGGGGCGCTCGTCTGCACTTCCCTCCGGCTTGCTGCTGGATGAGCTCTTGGCGAGCCTGGAGTTTCTGCAGCAGGCGCTAAATTTCCTAGAAACGGAGGCCCCGGGGGAGCTGGAGGCCTTGGAAGAGGCCACCTCGCTGGAATCACCAATCAGGGAGGAAGAATACCGGCCTCTGCAGGAGGAGTTTTAGGATGCGTGGTTGGTATGGGGTCGGGTTGGGGCAGGGTGGTGGCCTCTCTATCACGGGGAGCACCTGGCTGGCTATGGAGGGGCAACTCTTCCCACAACCCCCTTCACCTAGCTGAACAGCCTGGGATTCCTGCCATCTAGGTCTGGGCCCAGTGAGAGACTCCACACAGCGGAGAACTGCCATTCTTTCATGGGCATCCTGGGGATCCCTGATCCGGCCCAGGTACCAGCAGGTGGGCCACCTACTGCACACTTACAGGTTTGTGCACAGCCACATGGGCTGTGGGAGCAACCCGGCAGAGCCCTGATGTCTTACCACCACCCCACCTCGGCCTGACCACTCCCTCACCACCCCCACCCCCCACCCCCGGAAAATGCATCCTCCTCTGGGCTCGGTGGAGACCCACGACCCGTGAAACACCGGGCCCGCGCAGCGTCCAGACCTGATACCCCTCCAGCGGCTCGCCTCCTCTGTGCTTCCACGCCACCGTCGCCGGCTCGCCCGTGCCCCTGCAGCCTCCCAGCTGCCACCATGGAGCTCCTGGCGGCAGAACTCAGACCTCTAGCTGTCTCTGCCGGCCTCCGGACTAGACCTGCGATCATTGCGCACCCCAGCTGACTTGCAAGGGAGGCAGCTGGCCTCTCTGTGCCCTTGTCCACCATGAAATTCTGGCTGAGGCTCTCCCAACACCTTCCGACACTCTTTAGTCAAAGCCTGGAGAATAGTTACATCTCCTGGATGATCAGTTCAGAAATATGTCACAATGCCCCCTCCCTGCGGAGCCTAGAGAAGATTTGCATCATTTGGGTGATCAGTGCAGAGATATATCACAATGTCCCCTCTACAAAAAGCCTGGAAATGATTTACATCACCTCGGTGATCAGTGCATAGGTATGTCAGAAATCCCCAGTAAGCTGAACCTAGACAAGGGTTACATCACTTAGGTGATCAGTGTAGAGATATGTGAAAATTCCCGTGTATACAGAGGCTAGACAAGTGTTACATCACCTAGTGATCAGTGCAGGGATAAGTCGTAAAGCCTCCTGTAGGCAGAGTGTAGACAATTGTTTCCTCCCTGGGGTGATCAGTGCAGAGATATGTCACAAAGCCCCTGTAAGCAGAACCTTGACAAGGGTTACATCACCTGTTTGACCAGTGGAAATGTATATCACAAATCCCCCGGCAGGCAAAGCCCAGACAATTGTTACATCACCTGGGTGAGCAGTGGAGAGATCTGTCACAATGCCCCTGTAGGCAGAGCTTAGACAAGTGTTACATCACCTGGGTGATCAGTGCAGAGATATGTCAAAACGCTCCTGTAGGCTGAACCTAGGCAGGAGTTACATTACCCGGGTGATCAGTGCAGAGATATGTGAGAATTCCCGTGTAGGCAGAGCCTAGACTAGTGTTATATCAGCTAGGTTATCAGTGCAGGTATAAGTCATAAAGCCTCCTGTAGGCAGAGCGTAGACAAGAGTTCCCTCCCCAGGGTGATCAGTGCAGAGATGTGTCACAAAGCCCCTGTAGGCAGAGCCTAGACAAGAGTTTCATCACTTCATTGATCAGTTCAGAGATGTGTCACAATGTCCATGTAGGCAGATCTAAGACAAGGGTCCATCATCTGGGTAATCAGTGCAGAGATATGTACCAATGTCCCTTGTAGGCAGTGCCTAGACAAGAGTTGCATCACCTCAGAGATCATTGCATAGATATGTCACAAATCGTTCTGTAGGCAAAGCCCACACAAGGCTTACATCACCTAGGTGATCAGTGCAGTGATATGTCACAAAAATCCCGGTAGACAGAGCTTAGAAAAGAGTTACAACACCTCGGTGATCAGTGCCGACATTTGACACAATGCCCCCATAAACAGAGCCTAGACAAGGCTTCCATCACATGGGTGATCAGTGTAGAGATATGTCACAAATCCCCCTCTAGGCAGAGTATAGAGAAGAGTCCCATCACCTGGGTCATCAGTGCAGAGATATTTCACAATGCCCCCTGTAGGCAGAGAGAGGACAAGAGTTACATAACCTAGGTGATCTGTGCAGACCTATGTCACAACGCCGCAGTAGGCAGAGCCTAGATAAATGTTACATCACCTGGGTGACCAGTGCAGAGATACGTCACAATACCGCCTGTAGGCGGAGACTAGACAAGAGTTACATCAACTCGGTGATCAGTGCAGAAATATGTCACAAAGCCCCTGTATGCCGAGCCTAGAGTAGAATTACATCTCCTGGGTGATCAGTGCAAAGATATGTCACAAAGCCCCCTGTAGACAAATCCCAGAAAATTGTTACATCACCTGGGTGATCAGTGGAAATATCTGTCACAATTCCCCTTTAGGTGCAGCTTAGACAAGCCTTACGTCACATGAGTGATCAGTGTAGAGATATGTCACTATGCCCCTATAGGCAGATCCAAGACAAGAGTCCATCACCTGGGTGATCAGTGCAGAAATATGCCACAATGACGCCAGTAGGCAGATATAGACAAGAGTCACATCACCTGCGTGATCACTGCAGAGATATGTCACAATGCCCCTGTAGGCAGAGCCTAGACAAGACTCCCATCACCTGGATGATCAGTGCAGACTTGTGTCACAATGCCCCCTTTTGACAGAGCCTAGACAAGGGTTACATCACCTGGGTGATCAGTGCAGTGATGTGTCACAACCCCCTGTATCCAGAGCCTACACAAGGGTTACATCAGCTGTGTGATCAGTGCAGTGACATGTCACAATATCCCTATAACCATATCCTTGACAAAAGTGACATCACCTGGGTGATCAGTGCGGACATATGTCACAATGTCTCCAGTAGGAAGAGCCTAGACAAGAGTTACCTCACCTGGGTTATCAGGGCAGATATATGTCACAATGCCCCCTGTAAGCAGATCCCAGAGAAGAGTTGCATCACCTCGGTGATCAGTGCAGAGATATGTCTCAATGCCTCCTGTAGGCGAAGCCTATACATGAGTTACATCATCTCAGTGATCAGTGCAGTGATATGTCCCAATGTCCCTCTAGGCAGAGCTTAGACAAGAGACACGTCTCCTGGGTGATCAGTGCAGAGCTAAGTCACAATGCCCCCATAGGCAGAGCCTAGACAAGAGTTAGATATCCCGGGTGATCTCTGCAGAGTGATGTCAGAACACCCTCTGTAGGTAGAGACTAGAAAAGAGTTACATCACCTGGGTGATCAGTGCAGAGATATTTCAAAATGCCTCCTGTAGGCAGAGCATAGGGAAGAGTTGCATCACCTGGGTGATCAGTGCAGAGATATGTCACAAAGCTCCTGTAGGCACAATTTAGATGAGTTACTTCACCTGGGTGATCAGTGCAAATGTATATCACAAAGCCCCCTGTAGGCAAAGCCTAGACAATAGTTACCTTACTTGGGTGATTAGTGGAGAGATCTCTCACAGTTCCCCTGTAGGCAGAGATTATACAACAGTTATATCACCAGGGTGATCACTGCAGAGATATGTCACAATGCGCCCATAGGCAGATCCAAGACAAGAGTCCGTCACCTGGGTGATCAGTGCAGAAATATTTCACAATGCCACCTTAGGCAGAGCCTAGAGAAAAGCCCCATCACCTGGATGATCAGTGCAGAGTTATGTCACAAAGTCCCTTTAAGCAGATCCTAGACAAATGTTACATCACTTGGATGATCAGTGCAGAGATATGTCACTATGCCAGTGTAGGCAGAGCCTAGACAAGAGTTACATGACCTAGGTGATCAGTGCAGAGATACATCGCAATGTCCCTGTAGGCAGAGCCTTGACAGGCGGTAAATCAGCTGGGTGATCATTGCAGGGATATGCCACAAAGTACCCTGTAGGCAGATCCTAGAGAAAAGTTATATCACCTGGGTGATCAGTGCAGAGATATGTCACAAGCCCCCCTGTAGGCAGAGCCTAGACAAGAGTTATATCACCTGGGTGATCAGTGCAGAGATATGTCATAAATCCCACTTTAGGCAAAGCGTAGAGAAGTTTTACATCACCTCAGCGATCAGTGCAGAGATATGTTCCAATGTCCCTCTAGACAGAGCTTAGACAAGAGTCACATCTCCTGGGTGATCAGTGCAGAGATAAGTCACAATGCCCCCATAGGCAGAGCCTAGACAAGAGTTAGATATCCCGGGTGATCTCTGCAGAGTGATGTCAGAACACCCTCTGTAGGTAGAGACTAGAAAAGAGTTACAACACCTGGGTGATCAGTGCAGAGATATCTCACAATGCCCCCTGTAGGCAGAGCATGGAGAAGAGTTGCATCACCCGGTTGATCAGTGCAGAGATATGTCACAATGTCCCCTGTAGTCAGAGCACAGAGAAGAGTTGCATCACCTGGGTGATCAGTGCAGAAATATGTCACAATGTCCCCTGTAGGCAAAGCCTAGGCAAGAGTTGCATCACCTGGGTGATCAGTGCAGATATATGTCACAATGTCCCCAGTAGGCAAAGCCTAGGCAAGAGTTACATCACCTTTGTCTTCAGTTTAGGGATATGTGAAAACGCCCCTGTAGGCAGAGCCTAGATAAGAGTTCCGCCACCTAGTTGATCAGTGCAGAGATATTTCACAATACCCTCTGTAGGCAGATCCTAGACAAGAGTTGAATCACCATGGTGATCAGTGCAGAGATATTTCACAATACCCCGTTGGACAGAGGGTAGACAAGAGTTACACCACCTAGTTGATCAGTGCAGTGATATTTCACAATATCCCCTGTGGACAGATTCTAGACAAGAGTCGAATCACCTGGGGGATCAGTGCATAGATATGTCACAATGCCACTGTAGGCAGAGCCTAGACAAGAGTTACATGAGCTAGGTGATCAGTGCAGAGATTCATCGCAATGTCCCTGTAGGCAGACCCTTGAAAATTGGTACATCACCTGAGTGATCATTGCAGGGATATGTCACAAAGCACCCTGTAGGCAGATCCTAGAAAAGAGTTACATCAGCTGGGTGATCAGTGCACAGATATGTCACAATGCCACTGTTGGCAGAGCCTAGAGAAGCGTCCCATCACGTGGGTGGTCAGTGCAGATATATGTCACAAGACCCCTGTAGGCAGAGCCTAGAGAAGAGTTATATCACCTGGGTGATTATTGCAGTGATATGTCACAATGCCGTGTAGCCGGAGCCTAGACTAAAGTTACAGCACCTGGGAGATCAGTGCAGAGATATGTCACAATATCCCGAGTAGGCAGAGACCAGGCAAGAGTTGGATCACCTCGAGATCAGTGCAGAGATTTGTCTCAATCCCCCTGTGGACACAGCCTAGACAAAAGTTACATCATCTTGGTTAACAGTGCAGAGGTATGTCAAAATGCCCCTGTATGCAGAGCCTACACAAGTGTTACATCACTTAGGTTATCAGTGCAGAGATATGTCACAATACCCCCTGTAAGCAGAGCCTAGACAAGAGTTACATCACCTGGGTGATCAGTGCAGAGATATGTGACAAGGCCCCTTTAAACAGAGCCTAGACAATTGTTACATCACCTGAGTGATTAGTGCAGAGATCTGTCACAATGCCCCTTTAGGCAGCGCTGAGACCAGAGTTACATCACCTGGGTGGTCAGTGCAGAGATATGTCACAATGCCCCCATAGGCAAATCCAAGACAAGAGTCCATCACCTGGGTGATCAGTGCAGAAATATGTGACAATGCCCCCAGTAGGCAGAGCCTAGAGAAGAGTCCCATCACCTGGGTGATCAGTGCAGAGATATTTCACAATGCCCCTGCAGGCAGAGGGTAAGCAAGTGTTACATGACCTGCGTGATCAGTGCAGAGATATGTCACAAGGTCCCCTATAGGCAGAATCTGGACAAGAGTTACATCACCTCGGTGATCAATGCAGTGTTATGTCACTATGCCCCGTAGGCAGAGCCTAGTCAAGCGTTACATCACCTGGGTGATCAATGCAGAGATATGTCACAAAGCCCCCATACACAGAGTCTAGACAAGAGTCCCATTACCTGGGTGATCAGTGCAGGAATAAGTCACAATGCCCCCATAGGCAGAGACTACACAAGAGTTACATCACCTGGGTGATCAGTGTAGAGATATGTCACAATGCCCCCATGGACAGATCCTTGACAAACGTCCCATCAGCTGGGTGATCAGTGCAGAGATATGTCACAAAGCCCCTGTAGGCAGAGCCTAGACAAGGGTTACATCACTTTGTTGATCAGTTCAGAGATGTGTCATGCTGAATGTTGCTCCCGGAGCTCTGCGGGCACCTGGAAACATGCAGGGAAGGGTGGAAGACCGGTATGGTGCCTTCGCTCTCCTTGCCAGTTTCCAAACCGGCCACACTGCAGACTCCCCATTTTGCCGCAAACGGGAATCCATCGTCAGACCATCACGCCGGGGGGGCATCTTCTCTCTGGGGTCTCGCTCTGGTCTCCTACGTGGAAACGAACGAGAGCCACAGGCCTGTGTGTGTGAGACTTTCCAGACAACAGCAACACCCACAGGCACTGCCTCCTTCACGGAGAGTGGGCCTGGAACCCTCAAGACTCCCACGGAAGTTCAGTTCCACACTCCCCACCACCCTCCCAGGCCGGTTTCTCCCTGCTGTAGATGCGTGGGAGCCCAGAGAGCGGCTTCCAGTTCCCGCGGGATTGCTAGAGAGGTCCAGAGAGCCAGCCCCCAAAAAGCGCCCCCTTCACCCCTTTCCCCTCGCCCCCTTCCTGTTCGTGCCTCTGTCCCCACCACCACCATCACCACGCCCTCCCCCAAACCCCACCACCCCCCGGCCGCAGGCCTGGACATCCTGGGACCCTTCCGGGGTGGGGCAGGCTGTCCCAGGGCTCACCGCCATTCATGAAGTGGTGGAGCCTGCCTGCCTGTGGGCCTTTATAAGAGCCGCTGGCTGGCTGTCCGGGCAGGCCTCCTGGCTGCACCTGCTGCAGTGCACAGGCCGTTTGAGGTGCACGGGAGCCCACCGGCCTCTCTCTGCCCATGTCCGTCCGTGAAATTCTGCCCAGGGCTCCCCGCGATGGCCCTCCCGACACCTTCGGACAGCACCCTCCCCGCGGAAGTCCGGGGACGGGGACGGCAAAGGTGACTCGTGTGGACCCCGAGCCAAATCGAGGCCCTGCGAGCCTGCTTTGAGCGGATCCCATACCCGTACATCAACAGCAGAGAGCTGCTGGCCCAGGCCATCGGCATTCCGGATCCCAGGGTCCAGATTCGGTTTCAGAATGAGAGGTCACGCAAGATGAGGCAGCAATGGCGGGAATCTGGGCCCTGGCCCGGGAGACGCGGCCCGCAAGAAGGCAGGCGAAAGCAGACCGCCGTCACTGGATCCCAGACTGGCCTTCTCCTCCGAGCCGTTGAGAAGGATCGCTTTCCAGGCATAGCCGCCAGGGAAGAGCTGGCCAGCGAGATGGGCTTCCCGGAGTCCAGAATTCAGAAATCTTTTCAGAATCTCAGGGCCAGGCACCCGGGACAGGCTGGCAGGGCGCCCGCACAGGAGGGTGGCCTGTGCAACACAGCCCCCGGCTTGTGTCACCCTGCTCCCTCATGGGTCGCCTTCGCCCACAACGGCGCGTGGGTAACGGGGCATCCCGCACCCCACGTGCCCTGCTGGCCTGGGGCTCTACCACAGGGGGCTTTCGTGAGCCAGGGAGTGAGGGCCGTCCCCGTGCTCCAGCCCAGCAAGGCTGCCCCGGCACAGGGTATCTCCCAACCTGCCCCAGGATGTGGGGATTTTGCATACGCCACCCCGGCTCCTCCGGAATGGGCGCTCTCCCACCCTCAGGCTCCTCGGTGGCCTCCGCACCCGGGCAAAAGCTGGGAGGACTGGGACCCACAGCACGATGGCCTGCCAGGCCCTTGAGTGGTGGGACATCCTGGGCCTGCTCAAGCAGGGCAACAGGGCCAAGGTGTGTTTGCGCAACCCGCGTCCCAGAGGAGTCCGTGGTGGGGCTGGGCCCGTGGTCCCCAGGTCGCCCGGGCGGCGTGGGAACCCCAAGGCGGGGCAGCTCCACCTTGCCAGCCCGCGCACCCAGAGGCCTCTGCATGGCACTGGCAGATGCAAGGCATACCGGCGCCCTTCCAGGCCCTCCAGGAGCCGGGACCCCCGTCTGCACTCCCCTACGGCCTGCTACTGGATAAGCTCCTGCTGAGCCCGGAGTTTCTGCAGCAGGCACAAACTTTCCTAGAAATGGAGACCCCGGGGGAGCTGGAGGCCTTGGAAGTGGCCGCCTCGCTGAAAGCACCCCCCTCAGTGAGCAAGAATACCAGGCTCTCCTGGAGGAGATTTAGGACACAGGGTTGGGACGGTGTCGGGTCGGGGCAGGGCGGTGGCCTCTTTTTCGCGGGGAACACCTGGCTGGCTATGGAGGGGCGTGTCTTTCCCCCGCCCCCTACACTGGGCTCACCGGTCTGGGATTCCTGCCTTCTAAGTCTAGGCCCCGTGACAGACTCCACACAGTGGAGAACTGCCATTCTTTCCTGGGCATCCCGGAGATCCCAGAGCCGGCCCAGGTACCAGCAGATGGGACGCCTACTGCGCATGCGCGGGTTTGTGGGCAGCCGCCTGGGCAGTGGGAGCAGCCAGGGCAGAGCTCTCATGCTTTTCTACCACCCCACCCCCGCCTGACCAACCCATACCCTCCCCCATCGGCACCCACGTAAAATGCATCCTCCCCTGGGCTACGTGGAGACCCCCGTCCCACGAAACACCGGGCACTTGCAGCGTCCAGGTCTGACACCCTTCCGGCGGCTCGCCTCCTCTGCGCCACCGCGCCACCATCGCCAGCCCGCCCGTGACCCTGCAGTTTCCCAGCTGCCACCATGGAGGGCCTGGTGGCGGAACGCAGACCTCTAGCTCTCTTTGCCGGACTCCTGGCTAGACCTGCGCTTATTGTGCACACCTGCTGACGTGCAAGGGAGCCCGCTGGCCTCTCGGTGCCCTTGTCCGTCTGTGAAATTCCAGCTGAGGCTCTCCCAACACCTTCCGACACTCTTTAGTCAAAGCCTGGAGAATAGTTACATTTCCTGAATGATCAGTTCAGAAATATGTCACAATGCCCCCTCCCTGCGGAGCCTAGAGAAGATTTGCATCATTTGGGTGATCAGCACAGAGATATATCACAATGTCCCCTGTACAAAAAGCCTGGAAATGATTTACGTCACCTCGGTGATCAGTGCATAGGTATGTCAGAAATCCCCAGTAGGCTGATCCTAGACAAGGGTTACATCACTTATGTGATCAGTTTAGAGATATGTGAAATTTTCCTTGTAGACAGAGCTTAGACAGCTGTTACATCACCTAGTGATCAGTGCAGGGAATAGTCATAAAGCCTCCCATAGGCAGAGTGTAGAAAAGTGTTTCCTCCCTGGGGTGATCAGTGCAGAGATATGTCACAAAGCCCCTGTAAGCAGAACTTTGACAAGGGTTACATCACCTGTTTGATCAGTGGAAATGTATATCACAAAGCCCCCTGTAGGCAAAGCCCAGACAATTGTTACATCACCTGAGTGAGCAGTGGAGAGATCTGTCACAATGCCCCTGTAGGCAGAGCTTAGACAAGGGTTACACCACCTGGGTGATCAGTGCAGAGATATGTCAAAACGTTCCTGTAGGCTGAACCTAGACAGGAGTTACATCACCCAGGTGATCAGTGCAGAGATATGTGAGAATTCCACTGTAGGCAGAGCCTAGACAAGTGTTATATCACCTTGGTTATCAGTGCAGGTATAAGTCATAAAGCCTCCTATAGGCAGAGCGTAGCAAGAGTTCCCTCCCCAGGGTGATCAGTGCAGAGAAGTGTCACAAAGCCCCTGTAGGCAGAGCCTAGACAAGAGTTTCATCACTTGGTTGATCAGTTCAGAGATGTGTCACAATGTCCATGTAGGCAGATCTAAGACAAGTGTCCATAATATGGGTGATCTGAGCAGAGATATGTACCAATGTCCCCTGCAGGCAGTGCCTAGACAAGAGTTGCATAACCTCAGAGATCAGGGCATAGATATGTCACAAAGCCTCTATAGGCAAAGCTCATACAAGGCTTACATCACCTAGGTGATCAGTGCAGTGATATGTCACAAAAATCCCTGTAGACAGAGCCTAGAATAGAGTTACATCACCTGGGTGATCAGGGCAGATATTTGACAGAATGCCCCCATAGACAGAGCCTAGACAAGACTTCCATCACCTGGGTGATCAGTGCAGAGATATTTCACAATGCCCTCTGTAGGCAGAGAGTGGAAAAGAGTTACATAACCTAGGTGATCTGTGCAGAGCTATGTCAAAAAGCCCCTGTAGGCATAGCCTAGATACATGTTACATCACCTGGGTGATCAGTGCAGAGATAAGTCACAATACCCTCTGTAGGTGGAGCCTAGACAAGAGTTACATCATCTGGGTGATCAGTGCAGGGATATGTCACAAAGCCCCTGTAAGCGGAGCCTAGACAAGAGTTACATCACCTGGGTGATCAGTGCAGAAATATGTCACAAAGCCCCTGTAGGCCGAGCCTAGAAAAGAGTTACATCATGTGGGTGATCAGTGCAGAGATATCTCACAATATCCCCTGTAAGCAGATACTAGACAAGAGTTACATCACGTGGGTGATCAGTGCAGAGATGTGTCATAAATCCCACTGTAGGCAAAGCCTAGACAAGTTTTACCTCACCTCAGCGATCAGTGCAGAGATATGTCCCAGTGTCCCTCTTGGCAGAGCTTAGACAAGAGTCACATCTCTTGGGAGGCCAAGGCGGGTGGATCACGAGGTCAAGAGATCGAGACCATCCCGGCTAAAACGGTGAAACCCCGTCTCTACTAAAAATACAAAAAAATTAGCCGGGCGTAGTGGCGGGCGCCTGTAGTCCCAGCTACTTGGGAGGCTGAGGCAGGAGAATGGCGTGAACCCGGGAGGCGGAGCTTGCAGTGAGCCGAGATCCCGCCACTGCACTCCAGCCTGGGCGACAGAGCGAGACTCCGTCTCAAAAAAAAAAAAAAGAGTCACATCTCCTGCGTGATCAGTGCAGAGATAAGTCACAATGCCCCCATAGGCAGGCCTAGACAACAGTTATATAACCCGGGTGATCATCCGTGCAGAGATATGTCACTGTGACCCCATAGGCAGATCCAAGACAAGAGTCCATCACCTGGGTGATCATTGCAGAAATATGCCACAATGCCACCAGTAGGCAGATATAGACAAGAGTTACATCACTGCAGAGATATGTCACAATGCCCCTGTAGGCAGAGCCTAAACAACTGTCCCATCACCTGGGAGATCAGTGCTGAGTTATGCCACAATGCCCCCTTTTTGCAGAGCCTAGACAAGGATTACATCACCTGGGGGATCAGTGCAGAGATGTGTCACAAGCCCCCTGTAGCCAGAGCCTAGACAAGTGTTACATCAGGTGTGTGATCAGTGCAGTGAAATGTCACAGTGCCCCTGTAGCCATATCCTTGACAAAAGTGACATCACCTGGGTGATCAGTGCGCAGATATGTCACAATGTCTCCAGTAGGCACTGATCACCCCAAGGAGGAAACACTTTTCTACCCTCTGCCTACAGGAGACTTTACGACTTATCCCTGCACTGATCACTAGGTGATGTAACTCTTGTCTAGGCTCTGTCTACACGGGAATTTTCACATATCTCTACACTGTTCACCTAAGTGATGTAACCCTTGTCTAGGTTCAGCCTACTGGGGATTTCTGACATACCTATGCACTGATCACCGAGGTGACATAAATCATTTCCAGGCTTTTTTTGCAGGTGACATTGTGAAATATCTCTGCACTGATCACCCAAATGATGCAAATCTTCTCTGGGCTCCACAGGGAGGGGTCATTGTGACATATTTCTGAACTGATCATCCAGGAGATGTAAGTATTCTGCAGGCTGTGACCAAGGAGCGTCGGAAGGTGTTGGGAGAGCCTCAGCCACAATTTCACGGATGTACAAGGGCACAGAGAGGCCAGCGGTCTCCCTTGCTCGTCAGCCGGCATGCGCAATGAGCTCAGGTCTAGCCAGGAGGTCGGCAAAGAGAGCTAGAGGTTGGGGTTCCACCGCCAGGCCCTCCATGGTGGCAGCTGGGAGGCTGCAGGGGCACGGGCAGGCCGGCGATGGTGGCATGGAGGCACAGAGGAGGCGAGCCGCTGGAGGGGTGTCAGGCCTGGACGTTGCGTGGGCCTGATGTTTTGCGGGATGGGGGTCTCCACCCAGCCCAGGGGAGGACGCATTTTCCAGGGGTGGGGGTTGGGGGTGTGGAGGGGCTGGTCAGGCGGGGGTGGGGTGGAGGAAAGAGAGGAGAGCTCTGTCCAGGCTGCTCCCACAGCGAGGCGGCTGCCCACAAACCCGTGCATGCGCAGTTGGCGGCCCACCTGCTGGTACCTGGGCCGGCTCTGGGATCCCTGGGATGCCCAGGAAAGAATGGCAGTTCTCCACTCTGTGGAGTCTCTCACCGGGTGTAGACCAAGAAGGCAGGAATCCCAGGCCGGTGAGCCTGGTGTAGGGGGCGGGGAAAGACACGCCCCTTCATAGCCAGCTAGGTGTTCGCCGCGAAAGGGAGGCCACCGCCCTGTTCCAACCCAACCCCTTCCCAACCCAGCGACCTAAACCTCCTCAAGCAGAGCCAGATATTCTTCCTCGCTGAGGGGTGCTTCCAGGGAGGCGGCCTCTTCAAAGTCCTCCATGTCCCCCAGGGTCTCCGTTTCTAGGAAAGGTTGGGCCTGCTCCAGAAACTCCGGGCTCGCCAAGAGCTCATCCAGCAGCAGGCCGGAGGGGAGTGCAGACGAGCGCACCGGCTCCTGGAGCTCCTGGGAGGGCGCCGGGATGCCTTGCATCTGCCCCTGCCATGCGGAGGCCTCCGGGGGCGGGGGCTGGCGAAGTGCAGCTGCCCCGGCTTGTGGTTCCCACGCCACACTGTCGACATGGGAACCCTGGTCCCAGCCCCACCACGGAATCCCCTGGGACGCGGGTGGCACAAGCACACCTTGTCCTTGTGGACCCGTTTGAGCCGGCCCAGGCTCTCCCACAGGGCAAGGGCCCGGCAGGCAGTCGCGCTGTGGTTCCCGGTCCTCCCAGCTTTTGCCTAGGTGCGGAGGCCACCGAGGAGCCTGAGGGTGGGAGAGCGCCCCTTCCGGAGGAGCCAGGGCAGCTTAGGAAAAATCCCCACATGCTAGGACAGGTTGGGAGATCCCCTCTCCTGGCACAGACTGGTTGGACTGGAACAGGGGCGGCCCTCGCTCCTTGGCACATGAAAGACCCCTGTGGGAGAGCCCCAGGGGCGCAGGGCACGTGGTGTGTGGGAAGCCCCGTTCCCCACGCTCTGGTGTGGGTGAAGGCGACCCACGAGGGAGCAGGGTGACACCCGCCGGACGCCACGTTGCACAGGCCGCTTGCCTGTGTGGACGCCCTTCCTGCCTGTCCCGGGTGCCTGGCCCTTGGATTCTGAAACCAGATCTGAATCCTGGACTCTGGAAGGCCTGTCTCTCTGGCCAGCTCTTCCCTGGCGGCGGGACTGGAAAGCGATCCTTCTCAAAGGCTCGGACGAGCAGGGCTGTCTGGGATCCAGTGACAGTGTCCGCTTGCACCTGCCTTCTTGCGTGCCGTCTCCCGGGCCAGTGCCGAGATTCCCGCTGGTGCTGCCTCAGCTGGCATGACCTCTCATTCTGAAACCGAATCTGGACCCTGGGCTCCGGAATGCCGATGGCCAAGGCCAGCCATTCTCTGGTGGCGACACCAGGGTACAGGTTCCACTCAAAGCAGGCTCGCAGGGCCTCGCTTTGGCTCGGGGTCCAAACGAGTCTCCTTCGCCGTCCCAGTCCCCGGGCTTCCGCGGGGAGGGTCCCGTCCGAAGGTGTCGGGAGGGCCAATGCGGGGAGCCCCGGCCGGAATTTCAAGGACGGACATGGGCAGAGAGTCCGGTGGGCTCCCGTGCACCTCAGCTGGCCTGTGCACTGTGGCAGGTTCAACCAGGAGACCTGCCTGGACAACCAGCCAGCGGTTCTTATAAAGGCCCGCAGGCAGGCAGTCTCCACCTCTTCATGAATGGTTGTGAGCCCTGGGACAGCCCGCCCCACCCCGGAAGAGTCCCAGGGCATCAAGGCCTGCGGCCGGGGGGTGGTGGGGTGGGTGGGGAGGCCGTGGTGATGGTGGTGGTGGGGCCGGAGAGACGAAGAGGAAGGGGCAGGGCGAAGGGGTGAGGGGGGCGCGTTTCAGGGGCTGGCTCTCCGGACCACTTCAGGAATCCCGCGGGAACTGGAGGCCACTCTCTGGGCTCCCACGCATCTTGAGCAGGGAGAAAACGGCCTGGGAGGGTGGAGGGGTGTGGAACTGAACCTCCGTGGGAGTCTTGAGTGTTCCAGGCCGTGTCTCCGTGAAGTAGTCAGTGCCTGTGGGTGTCGCCATTGCTGGGACAGTCTCCCATGCACAGGCGTGTGACTCTCGTTCATTTCCACGTAGGAGACCAGAGTGAGACCCCAGAGAGAAGATGCCTCCCCGGCGTGATGGCCTGACGATGGATTCCCGTGTGGGGCAATATGGGGAGTCTACAGTGTGGCTGGTTTGGAAACTGACAAGGAGAGCGAAAGCACCATGACGGTCTTCTACCCTTCCCTGCATGTTTCCAGATGCCTGCAGAGCTCCGGGAGCAAACAGTCAGCATGACACATCTCTGAACTGATCAACAAAGTGATGTAACCCTTGTCTAGGCTCTGCCTACAGGGGCTTTGTGATATATCTCTGCACTGATCACCCAGGTGATGGGACTTTTGTCTAGGTTCTGCCTGTGGGGGCTTTTTGACATATCTCTACACTGATCATCCAGGTGATGTAACTCTTGTGTTGGATCTGCCTATGGGGGCATTGTGACATATTTCTGCACTGATCACCCAGGTGATGCGACTCTTGTCTAGGCTCTATGTATGGGAGCTTTGTGACATATCTCTGCACTGATCACCCAGGTGATGTAACGCTTGACTAGGCTCTGCCTACGGGGCATAGTGACATACAACTGCATTGATCACGAAGGTGATGTAACTCTTGTCCAAGCTCTGTCTATAGGGGGCCTTGTGACATATCTCTGCACTGATCTTCTCGGTGATGTAACTCTTGCTTATGCTCTGCCTGCAGGGGCATTGTGAAATATCTCTGCACTGATTACCCAGGTGATGGGACTCTTCTCTAGGCTCTGCCTACAGGGGGCATGGTCACATATTTCTGCACTGATCACCCAAGTGACGGACTCTTGTCTTGAATTTGCCTATGGGGGCATTGTGAAATATCACTGCACTGATCACCCAGGTGATGTAACTCTGGTCTAAGCTCTGCCTAAAGGGGCATTGTGACAGATCTCTGCACTGATCACTCAGGTGATGTAACTATTGTCTACGCTCTGCTTAAAGGAGCCTTGTCACACATCTCTGCTCTGATCACCCAGGTGATGCAACTCTTGTCTAGGCTCTGCTAACAGGGGGTATTGTGACATATCTCTGCACTGATCACCTAAGTGATGTAACATTTGTGTAGGCTCTGCTTACAGGGGCATTTTGACATATCTCTGCAATGTTAACCGAGGTGATGTAACTCTTGTGTAGGCTATGCCCACAGGGGGATTGAGACATATCACTGCAGTGATCCCTCTGTGATCCAACTCTTGCCTGGTCTGTGTCTACTGGGGACATTGTGACATATCTCTGCACTGACCTCCCAGGTGCTGTAACTTTAGTCTAGGCTCTGGCTACACGGCATTGTGACATATCACTGCACTGATCACCCTGGTGATATAACTCTTGTCTAGGCTCTGCCTACAGGGGGCTTGTGACATATCTCTGTACTGATCACCCAGGTGATATAACTCTTCTCTAGGATCTGCCTACAGGGTGCTTTGTGACATATCACTGCAATGATCACCCAGGTGATATACCACTTGTTAAGGTTCTGCTTACAGGGGCATTGCGATGTATATATGCACTGATCACCTAGGTCATGTAACTCTTGTCTAGGCTCTGCCTCCAGTGGCATTATGACATATCTCTGCACTGATCACCCAGGTGATGTAACTCTTTTCTAGGATCTGCCTACAGGGTGCTTTGTGACATTTGCCTGCAATGATCACCCAGGTGATATACCAATTGTCAAGGCTCTGCTACAGGGGCATTGCGATGTATCTCTGCACTGATCACCTAAGTCATGTAACTCTTGTCTAGGCTCTGCCTACAGTGGCATTGTGACATATCTCTGCACTGATCACCCAGGTAATGGACTCTTGTCTTAGATCTGCCTACATGGAAATTGTGACACATCTCTGAACTGATCAACCAAGTGATGAAACTCTTGTCTAGGCTCTGCCTACAGGGGCTTTGTGACACATCTCTGGACTGATCACCCTGGGAAAGAAACTCTTTTCTACGCTCTGTCTACAGGGGGCTTTACGACTTATACCTGCACTGATAACCTAGGTGATGTAACACTTGTCCAGGCTCTGCCTACACGGGAATTCTCACATATCTCTGCACTGATAACCCAGGTGGTGTAACTCCTGTCTAGGTTCAGACTACAGGAGCGTTTTGACATATCTCTACACTGATCACCCAGGTGATGTAACCCTTGTCTAAGCTCTGCCTACTGGGGCATTGTGACAGATCTCTCCACTGCTCACCCAGGTGATGTAACAATTGTCTGGGCTTTGCCTTCAGGGGGCTTTGTGATATACGTTTCTACTGATCTAACAGGTGATGTAACCCTTGTCAAGGTTCTGCTTACAGGGGCTTTGAGACATATCACTACACTGATCACCACAGGGAGGAAACAGTTGTCTACACTCTGCCTACAGGAAGCTTTAGGACTTATCCCTGCACTGATCACTATGTGGTGTAACACTTGTCTAGGCTCTGTCTGCACGGGAATTTTCACATATCACTACACTGATCACCTAAGTGATGCAACACTTTTCTAGGTTCAGCCTACTGGGGATTTCTGACATAGCTATGCACTGATCACCGAGGTGATGTAAACCATTTCCAGGCTTTTTGTACAGGGGACATTGTGATATATCTCTGCACTGATCACCCAAATGATGCAAATCTTCTCTAGACTCTGCAGGGAGGGAGCATTGTGACAAATTTCTGAAACGATCATCCAGGAGATGTAACTATTTTCCAGGCTTTGACGGAAGAGCGTCGGAAGGTGTTGGGAGAGCCTCCGCCTGAATTTCACGGACGGACAAGGTCACAGAGAGGCCAGCGGGCTCCGTTGAACGTCAACCGGGGTGGGCAATGAGCACAGGTCTAGCCAGGAGGCCAGCAAAGAGAGCTAGAGGTCTGCGTTCCGCCGCCAGGCGCTCCATGGTGGTAGCTGGGATGCTGCAGGGGCATGGGCAGGCCGGCGACAGTGGCGCGGAGGTGCAGAGGAGGCGAGCCACTGGAGGGTTGTCAGGCCTGGACGCTGCCTGGGTCCGGTGTTTCCCGGGACGGGGGTCTACACCCAGCCCAGGGGAGGATGCATTTTCCGGGGGTTGGGGGTGGGGGTGGGGATGGGGTGGTCAGGCGTGGGTGGGGTAGTGGAAAGGCATGAGAGCTCTGCCCGGGCTGCTCCCACAGCCCATGCGGCTGCCCGCAAACCCGTGCTTTCATAGTAGGCGGCCTACATGCTGCTATCTGGGCCGGCTCTGGGATCCTCAGGAAACCCAGGAAAGAATGGCAGTTCTCCGCTGGGGGGAGTCTCTCACCGGGCCAAGACCTAGAAGGCAGAAATCCCAGGCTGGTCAGCCCAGTGGAGGGGGTGGGGGAAGACACGCCCCTCCATAGCCAGCCAGGTGTTCCCTGCGAAAAAGAGGCCACCACCCTGCCCAGACCTGACCCCGTCCCAACCCCGCGTCCTAAAGCTCCTCCAGCAGAGCCCGCTATTCTTCCTCGCTGAGGGGTGCTTCCAGCGAGTCGGCCTCTTCCAAGGCCTCCAGCTCCCCCGGGGCCTTCGTTTCTAGGAAATGTTGTGCCTGCTGCAGAAACTCTGGGCTCACCAGGAGCTCATGCAGCAGCAGGCCATAGGGGAGTGCAGACGAGCTCCCCGGCTCCTGGAGCGCCTGGGAGGGTGCTGGGATGCCTTGCATCTGCCCCTGCCACGCGGGGGCCTCCAGGGTAGCGGGCTGGCGAGGTGGAGCTGCCCCGGCCTGGGGTTCCCACGGCGCCCCGGCGACCTGGGGACCCCGGCTCCAGCCACACTACGGAATCCCTTGGGACGCGGGTGGTGCAAGCACACCTTGGCCCTGTGGCCTCGCTTGAGCGGGCCCAGGCTGTCCCACCGTGCAAGGGCCCGGCAGGCCGTCACGCTGTGGGTCCTGGTCCTCCTGGCTTTTGCCCGGGTGCGGAGGCCAACGAGGAGCCTGAGGATGGGAGAGCGCCCATTTCAGAGGAGCCAGGGCAGCGTAGGCAAAATCCCCGCGTGCCGGGGAAGGTTGCAAGATCCCCTCTGCCGGAGCGCCCTGGCAGGGCTGGAGTACGTGGACCGCCCTCGCTCCCTGGCTCACGAAATTCCCTGTGGGAGAGCCCCAGGCATGCAGGGCACGTGGGATTCGGGAAGCCCCATTCCCCAAGCGCCAGTGTGGGGGAAGGCGACCCACGAGGGAGCAGGGTGACACCCGCCGGGGGCCTCGTTGCACAGGCCGCCTGCCTGCGTGAGTGCCCTGCCAGTCTGTCCCGGGTGCCTGTCCCTTCCATTCTGAAACCAGATCTGAATTCTGGACTCCGGGTGGCCCGTCTCTCTGGCCAGCTCTTCCCTGGGAGTGATGCCTGGGGAGCGATCCTTCTCAAAGGATCGGAGGAGCAGGGCGGTCTGGGATCCGGTTACTGCGGTCCGCTTTCGCCTGCCTTCCTGCGGGCCGTGTCTCCCGGGCCAGGGCCGAGATTCCTGCCGGTGCTGCCTCAGCTGGCCTGACCTCTCATTCTGAAATCGAATCCGCACCCTGGGCTCCAGAATGCTGATGGCCTGGGCCAACCTTTCTCGGACGGCGATGCCCGGGTACGGGTTCTGCTCAAAGCAAGCTCGCAGGGCCTCACTTTGACTCGGGGTCCAAACGAGTCTCTTTCACTGTCCATGTCCCTGGGCTTCCAAGAGGAGTGTGCCGTCCGAAGGTGTCGTGAGGGCCATCGCAGGGAGCCCCGGCCAGAATTTCATGGAAGGACACGGGCAGAGAGAGGCCGGCGGGCTCCCGTGCACCTCAGCCGGCATGTGCACTGTCAGGTGGAGCCAGGAGGCCTACCCGGACAGCCAGCCAGCGGCTCCTATAAAGGCCCACAGGCAGGCAGGCTCCACCCCTTCATGAATGGCGGTGAGCCCTGGGACAGCCTGCCCCGCCCTGGAAGGGTCCCAGGGCGTCGAGGCCTGCGGCCGGGGGCTGGTGGTGTGGGGAGGAGGGCGTGGTGAGGTTGGTGGTGGGGCCAGAGAGACGAAGAGGAAGGGGGCGAGGGGGAAGGGGTGAGGGGTGTGCGTTTCGGGAGCTGGCTCTTCGGACCTCTCCAGGAATCCCGTGGGAACTGGAAGCCGCTCTCTGGGCTCACACGGATCTTCAGCAGGGAGAAACCGGCTAGAGAGGGTGGAGGGGAGTGTGGAACTGAAACTCCGTGGGAGTATTGATAGTTCCAGGCCCTCTCTCCGTGAAGGAGGCAATGCCTGAAGGTTTCGCTATTGCCGGGACAGTCTCACACATGCAGGCTTGTGGCTCTCGTTCATTTCCATGTAGGAGACCAGAGTGAGACCCCAGAGAGAAGATGCCTCCCCGGCGTGATGGCCTGACGATGGATTCCCGTGTGCGCCATCATGGGGAGTATTCAGTGTGGCCGGTTTGGAAACTGGCAAGGAGAGCGAAGGCACCATGCCGGTCTTCCATCTTTCCCTGCATGTTTGCTGGTGCCCGCAGAGCTCCAGGAGCAAACAGTGAGCATGACACATCTCTGAACTGATCAACAAAGTGATGTAACACTTGTCTAGGCTCTGCCTACAAGGGCTTTGTGACATATCTCTGCACTGATCACCCAGGTGATGGGACTTTTGTGTAGTCTCTGCCTATGGGGGCATTGTGACATATCTCTACACTGATCACCCAGGTGATGTAACTCTTGTGTTGGATCTGCCTATGGGGGCATTGTGACATATTTCTGCACTGATCACCCAAGTGATGAGACACTTTTCTAGGCTCTGTGTATGGGGGCTTTGTGGCATAGCTCTGCACTGATCACCCAGGTGATGTAACGCTTGACTAGGCTCTGCCTACAGGGTATAGTGACATATCACCGCTTTAATCACCGAGGTGATGTAACTCTTGTCCAGGCTCTGCCTATAGGGGGCCTTGTGACATAACTCTGCACTGATCATCTACGTGATGGGACCCTTCTCTAGGCTCTGCTTACTGGGGTCATTGTCATAAATTTCTGCACTGATCACTCAGGTGATGGAATCATGTCTTGGATTTGCCTATGGGGGCTCTGTGACATATCTCTGCACTGATCATCCAGGTGATGTAACTCTGGTCTAAGCTCTGCCTTAAGGGGCATTGTGACAGATCTCTGCACTGATCACTCAGGTGATGTGACAATTGTCTAGGCTCTGCTTAAAGGGGAATGGTCACATATCACTGCATTGATCACCCTGGTGATCTAACTCTGGTCTGGCTCTGCTTACAGGGGGTACTGTGACATATCTCTGCACTGATCACCTAAGTGATGTAACAATTTTGTAGGCTCTGCCTACAGGGGCATTTTGACATATCTCTGCACTGTTAACCGAGGTGATGTAACTGTTGTCGAGGCTGTGCCCACAGGGGGATTGAGACATATCTCTGCACTGATCCCCAGGTGATGCAACTCTTGCCTGGTCTCTGCCTACTGGGGATATTGTGACATATCTCTGCACTGATCTCCCAGGTGCTGTAACTTTCGTCTAGGCTCTGGCCACACGGCATTTTGACATTTCACTGCACTGATCACCCAGTTGATATAACTCTTGTCTAGGCTCTGCCTACAGGGGTCTTGTGACATATCTCTGCACTGATCACCCAGGTGATATAACTCTTCTCTAGGATCTGCCCACAGGGTGCTTTGTGACATATCCCTGCAATGATCAACCAGGTGATATACCACTTGCCAAGACTCTGCCTACAGGGGCATTGCGATGTATCTCTGCACTGATCACCTAGGTCATGTAACACTTGTCTAGCCTCTGCCTACATTGACATTGTGACATATCTTTGCAATGATCACCCAGATGATGTAACTGTTTTCTAGGATCTGCCTACAGGGTGCTTTGTGACATATCCCTGCAATGATCACCCAGGTGATGTACCACTTGTCAAGGCTCTGCCTACAAGGACATTGTGATGTATCTCTGCACTAATCACCTAGGTCATGTAACCGTTTTCTAGGCTCTGGGTTGAGTGGTATTGTGACATATCTCTGCACTGATCATCCAAGTGATTTAACTCTTGTCTAGGATCTGCCTAAAGGGACTTTGTGACATAAATCTGCACTGATCATCCAGGTAAAGGGGTTTTTGTCTAGGCTCTGCCTAAGGGGGCATTGTGACATGTTTCGGCACTGATCACCCAGGTGACGGACTCTTGTCTTGGATCTGCCTATGAGGGCATTGTGACATATCTCTGCACTGATCACCCAGGTGATGTAACGGTTGTATAAGCTCTGCCGACAGGGGAATTGTGAGAGATCTTGCCACTGATCACTGAAGTGATGTAACTATTGTCTAGGCTTTGCCTACCGGGGGCTTATTGACATACCTTTGCACTGATCACCAAGGTGATGTAACTCATCTAAGTTCTGCCTACAGGAGCTTTGTGACATATCTCTGCACTGATCACTTATGTGGTGTAACACTTTTGTACGCACTGCCTACAGAGAATTTTGACAACTCTTTGCACTGATCACCTAGGTGATGTAACTCTTGTCTACCCTCTGCCCAAAGGGGGCATTGTGAAATATCTCTGCACTGATCACCCAGGTGATTCAAATCTTGTCTAGGATCTGCTTATAGGGGGTATTGTGAAATATCTCTGCACTGATCAGCTAGGTGATGTAACTTTGTCTAGGCTCTGCCTACAGGAACGTTTTCCCATATCCCTGAACTGATGACAAAGGTGATGTAACTCTTGCCTAGGCTTTGCCTACAGGGGACATTGTGACATATATCTGCACTAATCACCCAGGTGATGCAACTCTTCTCTATGCTCTGCCTACAGGGGACATAGTGACATATCTCTGCACTGATCACCCAGGTGATGTAACCCTTTTCAAGTCTCTGCCTACAGAGGGCGTTGTGACATCACTCTGCACGGATCACCCGGGTTATGTAAGTGTTGTCTAGGCTCTGCCTATGGGGGCATTGTGACTTAACTCTGCACTGATTACCCAGGAGATGTGACTCTTTCCTAAGCTCTGCCTAGAGGAACATTGGGACATATCTCTGCACTGATCGCTGAGGTGATGTAAAACTGTCTAGGCTTTGCCTACAGTGGGATTTATGACATATCTCTGCACTGATCACCCAGGTGATGTAAGTCTTGTCTAGCCTCTGCTTACAGGGGGTATTGTGAGATATCTCTGCATTGATCACCGAGGTGATGTATCTCTTGTCTAGGCTCTGCCTACTGGAGACATTGTGACATATCTCCGCACTGATCACCCAGGTGATGTCACTTTTGTCAAGGATATGGCTACAGGGACATTGTGACATGTTACTGCACTGATCACACAGCTGATGTAACACTTGTTTAGGCTCTGGGTATAGGGGGCTTGTGACACATCTCTGCAGTGATCACCCAGGTGATGTAACCCTTGTCTAGGCTCTGACAAAATGGTGCATTGTGACATAACTCTTCACTGATCACTCAGGTGATGGGACTCTTGTCTAGGCTCTGCCTACAGGAGCATTGTGACATATGTCTGCAGTGATCATGCAGGTGATGTAACTCTTGCCTATATCTGCCTACTAGCGGCATTGTGGCATATTTCTGCACTGATCAACCAGGTGATGGGCTCTTGTCTTGGATCTGCCTATTGGGGCATAGTGACATATCTCTGCACTGATCACTCATGTGACGTAACGCTTGTCTAAGCTGCGCCTCAAGGTGAATTGTGACAGATATCTCCACTGATCACCCAGGTGATGTAACAATTTTCTGGGACTTGTCTGCAGGGGGCTTTGTGACATATCTTTGCATTGATCACCCAGGAGATGTAACTCTTTTCTAGGCTCGGCCTACAGGGGTTTTGTGACATATTTCTGTACTGATCACCCAGGTAATATAACTGTTGTCTGGGTTCCACGTACATGGGGTATTGTGACGTATCTCTGCACAGATTATCGAGGTGATGTAACATTTATCTAGGCTCTCCCTGCAGGGGCGTTTTGACATAGCTCTGCACAGATCACCTAGGTTATGTATCACTTGTCCACGCTCTGCCTGCAGGTGTGTTGTGAAATATATCTGCACTCATCTCCCAGGTGATGGGACTCTTCTCTATACTCTGCCTAGTGGGGGTTTGTGACATATCTCTGCACTGATCACCCAGGTGATGGAATTCTTGTCTAGGATCTGTCTTTGGGGGCATTGTGTCAAATATCTGCACTGATCACCCAGGTGATGTAACTCTTTGCTAGGCTCTGTCTACAGGGATTTTTGTGACATACCACTGCAGTGATCACCTAGCTGATGTAAGTCTTGTATGAGCTTTGCTTACAGAAGGATTTGTGACATATCTATGTACTGATCTCTGAGGTGATGCAACTCTTGTCTAGGCACTGCCTACAGGGGACATTGGTACATATCTCTACACTGATCACCCAGTTGATGGACTCTTGTCTTAGATCTGCCTACATGGACATTGTGACACATCTCTGAACTGATCAACCAAGTGATGAAACCCTTGTCTAGCCTCTGCCTACAGGGGCTATGTGACACATCACTGCTTTGATCACCCTGCGGCGGGAACTCTTGTCTACGCTCTGCCAATAGGAGTTTTATGACTTATACCTGCACTGATAACCTAGGTGAAGTAACACTTGCCTAGGCCCTGTTTACACGGAAATTCTCACATATCTCTGCACTCATCACCCAGGTGAAGTAACTCCTGTCTAGGTTCAGCCTATAGGATCGTTTTGACATACCTCTGTGCTGATCACTGAGGTGATGTTACCCTTGTCAAAGCTCTGCCTACAGGGGCATTGTGACAGATCTCTCCACTGCTCACCCAGGTGATGTAACAATTGTCAGGGCTTTGCCTACAAGGGACTTTGTGATATACATTTCCACTGATCAAACAGGTGATGTAACCTTTGTCAAGGTTCTGTTTACAGGGGCTTTGTGACATATCTCTGCACTGATCACCACAGGGAGGAAACACTTGTCTACACTCTGCCTACAGGAGGCTTTACAACTCTTGTCTATGCTCTGCATACGTGGGCATTGTGACTTATCTCTGCACTGATCACCCAAGACACGTGACACTTGTCTGAGCTCTGCCTAGAGGGACATCAGGACGTATCTCTGAACTGATCGCTGAGGTGATGTAAAATTGTCTAGGCTTGCCTAGGCTTGCCTATAGTGGGATTTATGACGTATCTCTGCACTAATCAGCCAGGTGATGTAACTCTTTTCTAGGCTCTGCTTACAGGGGTTATTGTGAGATATCTCTGCACTGATCACCCAGGTGATGTAACTGTTGTCTGGGCTCTGCCTACAGGGGTATTTTAACATATCACTGCACTGATGACCGAGATGATGTAACTCTTGTATAGGCTTCGCCGACAGGGGGCATTGAGATATATCTCTGAACTGATCACCGAGGTGATGCAACTCTTTCTGGGATCTGCTTACAGGGGTCATTGTGACACATCTCTGCCCTGATCACCCAGGTGATGTAACTCTTGTCTAGGCTCTGCCTAATGGAGATCTTGTGACATATCTCTGCACTGGTCACCCAGGTGATGTCACTTTTGTCAAGGATATGGCTACAGGGACATTGAGACATGTCACTGCACTGATCACACAGCTGATGTAACACTTGTCAACGCTCTGGCTACAGGGGGCTTGTGACACATCTCTGCACTGATCACCCAGGTGATGTAACCCTTGTCTAGGCCTGCCAAAAGGGGGCATTGTGACATAACTCTGCACTGATCACCCAGGTGATGGGACTCTTGTCTACGCTCTGCCTACTGGGGTTTTGTGACATATCTCTGCAGTGATCACGCAGGTGATGTAACTCTTGTCTATATCTGCCTACTGGCGGCATTGTGGCATATTTCTGCACTGATCACCCAGTTGATGGACTCTTGTCTTGGATCTGCCTATGGGGGCATAGTGACATATCTCTGCACTGATCACTTATGTGATATAATGCTTGTCTAAGCTGCGCCTAAAGGGGAATTGTGACAGATACCTCCACTGATCACCCAGGTAATGTAACAATTTTCTGGGATTTGTCTACAGGGAGCTTTGTGACATACCTTTGCACTGATCACCCAGGAGATGTAACTCTTGTCTAGGCTCGGCCTACAGGAGCTTTGTGACATATTTCAGCACTGATAACCCAGGTGATGTAACTCTTGTTTAGGCTCTGCCTACAGGGGTTTTGTGACATATTTCTGCACTGATCACCCAGGTGATGTAACTCTTGTCTAGGCTACACCTACAGGGGCTATTGTGACGTATCTGCACAGATCACCCAGGTGATGTAACATTTATCTATGCTCAGCCAACAGGGGCGTTTTGACATAGCTCTGCACAGATCACCTAGGTTATGTAACTCTTGTCCACTCTCTGCCTACAGGGGGCATTGTGAAATATCTCTGCACTGATCACCCAGGTGATGGGACTCTTCTCGATACTCTGCCTAGAGGGGGATTTGTGACATATCTCTGCACTGATCACCCAGGTGATGGAAGTCTTGTCTAGGCTCTGTCTATGGGGGCATTGTGTCAAATATCTGCACTGATCACCCAGGTGATGTAACTCTTTTCTAGGCTCTGTCTTTGGGGGCATTGTGTCAAATATCTGCACTGATCACAAAGGTGATGTAACTCTTTCTAGGCTCTGTCTATAGGGATTTTTGTGACATATCACTGCACTGATCACCTAGGTGTTGTAAGCCTTATATGGACTTTGCCTACAGAAGGCTTTGTGACATATCTATGCAATGATCTCTGAAGTGATGCAACTCTTGTCTAGGCCCAACCTACAGGGCCATTGGTACATATCTCTGCACTGATCACCCAGGTGATGGACTCTTGTCTTAGATCTGTCTACATGGACATTGTGACACATCTCTGAACTGATCAACCAAGTGATGAAACTCTTGTATAGGCTCTGCTACAGGGGCTTTGTGACACATCTCTGCACTGATCACCCTGGGGAGGTAACTCTTGTCTACACTCTGCCTACAGGAGACTTTATGACTTATACCTGCACTGATAACCTAGGTGATGTAACACTTGTCTAGGCTCTGCCTACCCGGGAATTCTCACATATCTCTGCCCTGATCACCTGGGTGATGTAACTCCTGTCTAGGTTTAGCCTACAGGAGCGTTTTGTCATATCTCTGCACTGATCACCCAGGTGATGTAACACTTGTCTAAGCTCTGCCTACAGGGTCATTGTGACAGATCTCTCCACTGCTCACTCAGGTGATGTGACAATTGTCTGGGCTTTGCCTACAGGGGGCTGTGTGATATACATATCCAGTGATCAAACAGGTGATGTAACCCTGGTCAAGGTTCAGCTTACAGGGGCTTTGTGACATATCTATGCACTGATCACCCCAGAGAGGAATCACTTGTCTACACTCTGCCTAAAGGAGGCTTCACGAATTACCCCTGCAATGATCACTGGGTGATGTAACACTTGTCTAGGCTCTGTCTACATGGGAATTTTCACATATCTCTACACTGATCACCTAAGTGATGTAACCCTTGTCTAGGTTCAGCTTACTGGGGATTTCTGACATACCTATGCACTGATCACCGAGGTGATGTAAATCATTTCCAGGCTTTTTGTACAGGGGACATTGTTATTTATCTCTGCGCTGAACACCCAAATGATGCAAATCTTCTCTAAGCTCTGCAGGGAGGGGGCATTGTGACTTATTTGTGAACTGATCATCCAGGAGATGTAACTATTCTACAGGCTTTGACTAAAGTTCGTCGGAAGGTGTTTGGAGAGCCTCAGCTGGAATTTCACGGATGGCCAAGGGCACAGAGAGAGCAGCGGGCTCCCTTGCAAGTCAGCCAGAGTGCACAATGAGCGCAGGTCTAGCCAGGAGCCCAGCAAAGAGAGCTAGAGGTCTGCGTTCCACAGCAAGGCCCTCCATGGTGGCAGCTGGGAGGCTGCAGGGGCACGGGCGGGCCGGCGACGGTGGCGTGGTGGCACAGAGGAGGCGAGCCGCCGGAGGGGTGTCAGGCCCGGATGCTGCACGGTCCCAGTGTTTTGAGGGACGTGGGTCTCCACCCAGCCCAGGGGAGGACGCATTTTCCGGTGTTGGGGTGTGGGGGTTGGGGGGTAGTCAGGTGGGTGTGGGGTTGTGGAAAGGCATGAGAGCTCTGCCCGGGCTGCTCCCACAGCCCAGGCAGCTGCCCGCAAACCCGCGCGTGCGCAGTAGGCGGCCCACCTGCTGGTACCTGTGCCGACTGTGGGATCCCTGGGATGCCCAGGAAAGAATGGTATTTCTCCGCTTTGTGGAGCCTCTCACCGTGTCTAGACCTAGAGGGCAGGAACCCCAGGCTGGTCAGCCCGGTGGAGGGGGTGGGGGGAAGACACACCTTTCCATAGCCAGCCAGGTGTTCCCCGCGAAACAGAAGCCACCGCCCTGCCAGGAGCTGACCCTGTCCCAACCCCGCGTCCTAAAGCTCCTCCAGCAAAGCACGGTATTCTTCCTCGAAGATGGGTGGTTCCAGCAAGGCGGCCTCTTCCTTGGCCTCCAGCTCCCCCGCGGCCTCCGTTTCTAGGAAAGATTGTGCCTGCTGCAGAAACTCCAGTCTCACAAGGAGCTCATACAGCAGCAGGCCAGAAGGGAGTGCAGACGAGCGTTCCGGCTCCTGGAGATCCTGGGAGGGCGCCAGGATGCCGTGCATCTGCACCTGCCACGCGGAGTCCTCCGGGGGCGTCGGCTGGCGAGGTGGAGTTGCCCCGGCTTGGGGTTCCCATGCCACCATGGTGAGCTTGGGGCTCCGGCCGCAGCCCCACCACAGGCTCCCCTGGGACACGGGTGGTGCAGGCACACCTTGGCCCTGTGGCCCTGCTTCAGCAGGCCCAGGCTGTCCCAACGTGCAAGGGCCCGGCAGGCTGTCGCGCTGTGGGTCCCAGTCCTCCTGGCTTTTGCCCGGGTGTGGAGGCCACCGAGGAGACTGAGGCTGGGAGAGCGCCCCTTCTGGAGTAGCCGGGGCCTCGTAGGCAATATCACTGCATGCCAGGACATGTTGGGAGATCCCATCTGCCAGCCCGGCCTGGCTGCGCTGGAGCACGGGGACGGCCCTCGCTCCTTGCCTCACGAAAGCCCCCTGTGGGAGAGCCACAGGCGCGCAGGGAACGTGGGGTGCGGGAAGCCCCGTCCCCCACGTGCCAGTGTGGGTGAAGGCGACCCACGAGGGAGCAGGGTGACAAAGGCCGGGGGCCACGTTGCATAGGCTGCTTGCCTGCGGGGGCGCCCTGCCAGCCTGTCCTGGGTGCCTGGCCCTTCTATTCTGAAACCAGATCTGAATCCTGGACTCCGGGAGGCCCGTCTCTCTGGCCAGCTCTTCCCTGGCGGCGGGCCTGGAAAGCGTTCCTTCCCAAACTGTCGGAGGAGCAGGGCGGTGTGGGATCCGGTGACGGCGGTCCGCTTTCGCCTGCCTTCTTCAGGGCCGCGTCTCCTGGGCCAGGGCCGAGATTCCCACCCGTGCTGCCTCAGCTGGCGTGACCTCTCATTCTGAAACCAAATCTGGACCCTGGGCTCTGGAATGCCGATGGCCTGGGCCAGCCATTCTCTGGTGGCGATGCCCGGGTACATCTTCCGCTCAAAGCAGGCTCGCAGGGCCTCGCTTTGGCTCGGGTTCCAAAGGAGTCTCCGTCGCTGTCTCCGTCCCCGGCTTTCCGCGGAGAGGGTGCTGTCCGTAGGTGTCAGGAGGGGCAACACGGGGATCCCCAGCCAGAAATTCATGGACGGCATGTGCAGAGAGAGGACGGCGGACTCCCGTGCACCTCAGCTGGCCTGTGCACTGCCGCAGGTGCAGCCAGGAGGCCTGCCCGGACTACCAGCCACTGGCTCATATAAAGGCCCACAGGCAGGCAGGCTCCACCACTTCATGAATGGCGGTGAGCCCTGGGACAGCCCGCCCCACCTCAGATTGGTCCCAGGGCATCAAAGCCTGCGGCGGGTGGGGTGGTTGGGTGGGGGTGGAGGGCGTGGTGATGGTAGTGGTGGGGCCAGAGAGACGAAGAGGAAGGGGGCACGGGGGAAGGTGTGAGGCGGGCGCGTTACGGGGGCTGGCTATCCGGACCACTACAGGAAACCCGTGGGATCTGGAAGCCGCTCTCTGGGCTCCCACGCGTCTTCAGCAGGGAGAAACTGGCCTGGGAAGGTGGAGGGGAGTGTGGAACTGAACCTCCGTGGTAGTCTTGAGTGTTCCAGGCCCTGTCTCCGTGAAGTAGTCAGTGCCTGTGGGTGTCGCCGTTGCCAGGACAGTCTCACACAGGCAGGCGTGGGACTCTCGTTCATTTCCACTTAGGAGACCAGAGCGAGACCCCAGAGAGAAGATGCCTCCCCGGCGTGATGGCCTGATGATGGATTCCGGTGTACGGCAACATGGGGAGTCTGCAGTGTGGCCGGTTTGGAAACTGGAAAGGAGAGCGAAGGCACCATGATGATCTTCTAACGTTCCCTGCATGTTTCCGGGTGCCTGCAGAGCTCCGGGAGCAAACAGTCAGCATGACACATCTCTGAACTGATCAACAAAGTGATGTAACTTTTGTCTAGGCTCTGCCTACTGGGGCTTTGTGATATATCTCTTCACTGATCACCCAGGTGATGGGACGCTTGTCTAGGCTCTGCCTATGGGGGCATTGTGACATACCTCTACATTGATCACCCAGGTGATGTAACTCTTGTGTTGGATCTGCCTATGGGGGCATTGTGACATATTTCTGCACTGATCACTCAGGTGATGGGTCTCTTGTCTAGGATCTGTGTATGGGGGCTTTGTGACATATCTCTGCACTGATCACCCACGTGATGTAACGCTTGACTAGGCTCTGCCTATGGGGTATAATAACATATCACTGCATCGATCACCAAGGCGATGTAACTCCTGTCCAAGCTCTGCCTATAGGGGGCCTTGTGACATAACTCTGCACTGATCATCTTGGTGATGTAACTCTTGCTTACGCTCTGCCTGCAGGGGCATTGTGAAATATCTCTGCACTGATTACCCAGGTGATGGGACTCTTCTATAGGCTCTGCCTACTGGGGGCATTGTCACATATTTCTGCACTGATCACCCAGGTGACGGACCCTTGTCTTGGATTTGCCTATGGGGGCATTGTGACATATCTCTGCACTGTTCACCCGGGTTTTATATCTTTCCTCTAGGATCTGCGTACAGGGTGCTTTGTGACATATCCCTGCAGTGATCACCCAGGTGATATACCTCTTGTCAAGTCTCTGCCTACAGGGACATTAAGATGTATCTCTGCACTGAGTACCTGGGTAATGTAACACTTGTCTAGGCTCTGCCTACAGGGGCATTGTGACATATCTCTGCACTGATCATCCAAGTAATGTAACCCTTGTCTAGGGTCGGCCTAAAGGGAGTTTGTGACATAACTCTGCACTGATCATACAGGTGATGGGGCTTTTGTCCAGGCTCTGCCTAAGGGGGCATTGTGACATATTTCTGCACTGATCACCCACGTGACGGACTCTTGTCTTGGATCTGCCTATGGGGGCATTGTGACATATCTCTGCACTGATCACCCAGGTGATGTAACTCTTTTCTAGTCTCTGCCTACAGAGGTCGTTGTGACATCATTCTGCACAGATCACCCGGGTTATGTAACTCTTGTCTACGCTCTGCCTACGGGGGCCTTGTGACTTATCTCTGCACTGATCACCCAGGAGATGTGACTCCTGTCTAAGCTCTGCCTAGAGGGACATTGGGACATATCTCTGCACTGATCGCTGAGGTGATGTAAAACTTGTCTAGGCTTTGCCTACAGTGGAATTTAGAACATATCTCTGCACTGATCACCCAGGTTATGTAACTTTTGTCTAAGCTCTGCCTACAGGGGCATTTTAACATATCACTGCACTGATCACCGAGGTGGTGTAACTCATGTATAGGCTTCACCGACAGGGGGCATTGAGACATATCTCTGCACTGATCACCGAGGTGATGCAACTATTGTCTGGGATCTGCTTAGAGGGGGCATTGTGACATATCTCTGCCCTGATCACCCAGGTGATGTAACTCTTGTCTAGGCTCTGCCTACTGGAGACATTGTGATATATCTCCGCACTGATCACCCAGGTGATGTCACTTTTGCCAAGGATAAGGCTACATGGACATTGTGACATGTCACTGCACTGATCACACAGCTGATGTAACGCTTGTCTAGGCTCTGGCTACAGGGGCATTGTGACATAACTCTGCACTGATCACCAAGCTGATGGGACTCTTGTCTAGGGTCTGCCTACAGGGGCATTGTGACATATCTCTGCAATGATCACGCAGCTGATTTAAGTCTTTTCTATATCTGCCTACTGGCAGCATTGTGGCATATTTCTGCACTGATCACGCAGGTGATGAACTCTTGTCTTGGATCTGCCTATGGGGGCATAGTGACATAACTCTACACTGATCACTCATGTGATGTAAGGCTTGTCTAAGCTGCGCCTAAAGGGGAATTTTGACAGATACCTCCACTGATCACCCAGGTGATGTAACAACTTTCTGGGATTTGTCTACAGGGGGCTTTGTGACATATCTTTGCACTGATAACCTAGGAGATGTAACTCTTGTCTAGGCTCGGCCTACAGGGGCTTTGTGATATATTTCTGCACTGATAACCCAGGTGATGTAACTCTGTCTAGGCTCCGCCTACAGGGGCTTTGTTACATATCTCTGCACTGATCACCCAGTTGATGTATCTCTTGTCTAGGCTCCACATACAGGGGGTATTGTGACGTATCTCTGCACTTATCACCCAGCTGATGCAACATTTATCTAGGCTCTGCCTTCCGGGACGTTTTGACATAGCTCTGCACAGATCACCTAGGTTATTTAACTCTTGCCCACTCTCTGCCTACAGGGGGAATTGGGAAATATCTCTGCACTGATCACCCAGGTGATGGGACTGTTCTCTATACTCTGCCTAGAAGGGGATTTGTAACATATCATTTCAATGATCACCCAGGTGATGGAAGTCTTTTATAGTCTCTGTCTATGGAGGCATTGTGTCAAATATCTGCACTGATCACCCAGGTGATGTAACTCTTTTCTAGGCTCTGTCTACAGGATTTTTTGTGAAACATCACTGCACTGATCACCTAGGTGATGTAAGCCTTGTATGGGCTTTTCCTACAGAAGGCTTTGTGACATACCTATGCACTGATCTCTGAGGTGATGCAAGTCGCGTCTAGGCACTGCCTACAGGGGAAATTGGTACATATCTCTGCACTGATCACCCATGTGATGGACTCTTCTCTTAGATCTGCCTACATGGACATTTTGACACATCTCTGAACTGATCAACCAAGTGATGAAACTCTTGTCTAGGCTCTGCCTACAGGGGCTTTGTGACACATCTCTGCAATGATCACCCTGGTGAGGGAAGAGTTGTCTACACTCTGCCTACAGGAGGCTTTATGACTTATGCCTGCACTGATAACCTAGGTGATGTAACAATTGTCTAGGCCCTGCCTACACGGGAATTCTCACAAATCTCTGCACTGATCACCCGGGTGATGTAACTCCTGTCTAGGTTCAGCCCAGGGGAGCCTTTTGACATATCTCTGCACTGATCACCCAGGTGATGTAACCCTTATCTAAGCTCTGCCTACAGGGGCATTGTGACAGATCTCTCCACTGCTCACCCAGGTGATTTAACAATAGTCCGGGCTTTGCCTACTGGGGGCTTTATGATATACATTTCCACTGATCAAACAGGTGAAGTAAGACTTGTCAAGGTTCTGCTTACAGGAGCTTTGTGACATATCTCTGCACTGATCACCCCAGGGATGAAACACTTTTCTAAACTCTGCCTACAGGAGTCTTTACGACTTATCCCTGCACTGATCACTAGGTGACATAACACTTGTCTAGGCTCTGTCTACACGGGAATTTTCACACATCTCTACACTGATCACCTAAAGGATGTAACCCTTGTCTAGGTTCAGCCTACTGGGGATTTCTGACATATCTATGCACTGATCACCATGGTGATGTAAATCGTTCCCAGGCTTTCTGTACAGGGGACATTGTGATACATCTCTGCACTGATCACCCAAATGATGCAAATCTTTTCCAGGCTCTGAATGGAGGGGGCATTGTGACATATTTCTGAACTGATCATCCAGGAGATGTAACTATTCTCCATGCTTTGACTAAAGAGCGTTGGAAGGTGTTGGGAGAACCTCAGCCCGAATTTCACAGACGGACAAGGGCACGGAGAGGTCAGCGGGCTCCCTTGCACGGCAGCCGGGGTGCTCAATGAGCGCAGATCTAGCCAGGAGGCCGGCAAAGAGAGCTAGAGGTCTGCATTGCCCCGCCAGGCCCTCCATGGTGGCAGCTGTGAAGCTGGAGGGGCACGGGCGAGTCAGCGACATTGGCGCGGAGGTGCAGAGGAGGCAAGCCGCTGGAAGGGTGTCAGGTCTTGACGCTGCACGGGCCCGATATTTCGCGGGAAGGGGTGTCTACCCAGCCCAGGGGTGGAAGCATTTTCCGTGAGTGGGGGGTGGGGGTGGGATGGGGCTGGTCAGGCGGGGGTGGGGTGGTGGAAAGGCATGAGAGCTCTCCCCGGCTGCTCCAACAGACCAGGCGGCTGGCTGCCAAACCGCGCGTGCGCAGTAGGCGGCCCACTTGTTGGCACCTGGGCCGGCTCCGCGATCCCCGGAACGCCCAGGAAAGAATGGCAGTTCTCCGCTGTGTGGAGCCTCTCACCGGGCCTAGACCTAGAAGGCAGGAATCCCAGGCCCGTCAGGGCGATGGAGGGGGCGGGAGGAAGGCACACCCTTCCATAGCCAGCCAGGTGTTCCCCGCGAAAGAGAGGCCACAGCCCTGCCCCGAACCGACCCCGTCCCAACGTCGGGTCCTAAAGCTCCTCCAGCAGAGCTCGGTATTCTTCCTCGCTAAGGGGTGCTTCCAGCGAGGCGGCCTCTCCCAATGCCTCCAGCTCCCCCGGGGCCTCCGTTTCTAGGAAAGGTTGCGCCTGCTGCAGAAACTCCGGGCTTGCCTGGAGCTCATCCAGCAGCGGGCCAGCGGGGAGTGCTGACGAGCGCCCCAGCTCCTGGAGCGCCTGGGTTGGCGCCGGGATGCCTTTCATCTGCCCCTGCCACGCGGAGGCCTCCGGGGGCGCGGGCTGGCGAGGTGGAGCTGTCCCGGATTGGGATATCCACCCCGCCCCGGCGACCTAGTGACCCCGGCCGCAACCCCACCACGGACTCCCCTGGGACGCGGGTGGTGCAAGCACACCTTGGCCCTGTGGCCCCACTTGAGCGGATGCAGGCTGTCCCACCGTGCAAGGGCCCGGCAGGCCGTCGCGCTGCGGGACCCGGTCCTCCTGGCTTTTGCCCGGGTGCAGAGGCCACCGAGGAGCCTGAGGGTGAGAGAACGCCCATTCCATAGGAGCCGGAGCAGCATAGGCAAAGTCCTCGCGAGCCGGGGCAGGATGGGAGATCCCCTCTGCCGGCGCGGCCAGGCTGGGCTGGAGCACGTGGACGGCCCTTGCTCCCTGGCTCAAGAAAGCCCCCTGTGGGAGAGCCCCAGGTGCGCAGGGCAAGTGGGGTGTGGGAAGCCCCATTTCCCATGCGCTGGTGTGGGAAAAGGCGACAAAGAAGAGAGCACGGTGACACCCGTCGGGGGCCGCATTGCACAGGCCACTGCCTCTGCGGGAGCCCTGCCAGCCTGTCCCGGGTGCCTGGCCCTTCGATTCTGAAACGACATCTGAATCCTGGACTCCGGTAGGCCCGTCTCTCTGGCCAGCTCTTCCCTGGCGGCGATGCCTGAAAAGCGATCCTTCTCAAAGGCTCCGAGGAGCAGGGCGGTCTGGGATCCGGTGACGGTGGTCCGCTTTCGCCTGCCTTCTTGCCGGCCGCGTCTCCTGGGCCAGGGCCAAGATTCCCTCCGGTGCTGCCTGAGCTGGCGTGATATCTCATTCTGAAAACAAATCTGGAACCTGGGCTCTGGAATGCCGATGGCCTGGGCCAGCCATTCTCTGGTGGCGATGCCCGGGCACGGGTTCCACTCAAAGCAGGCTCGCATGGCTTCACTTTGGCTCGGGGTCCAAACAAGTCTCCTTTGCCGGCCCCATCCCCGGGCTTCCACGAGGAGGGCACCGTTCGAAGGTGTCGGGAGGGCCATCGCGGGTATCCCCGGCCGGAATTTCACAGACGGACACGGGCAGAGAGAGGCCGGCGGGCACCCGCGCACGTCAGCCGGCCTGTGCACTGTGGCAGGTGCAGCCAGGAGGCCTGCCCGGACAGCCAGCCAGCGGCTCTTATAAAGGCCCGTGGGCAGGCAGGATCCACCCCTTCTTGAATGGCGGTGAGCCCTGGGACAGCCTGCCCCACCCCAGAAGGGTCCCAGGGCGTTGAGGCCTGCAGCCGAGGGGTGGTGTGGTGGGGAGTGAGTGTGTGGTGATGGCGGTGGTGGGGCCAGAGAGACGAAGAGGAAGGGGGTGAGGGGGAAGCGGTGAGGGTGTTGTGTTTTGGTGGTGGCTCTCCGGACCTCCCCAGGAATCTCCCGGGAACTGGAAGCCGCTCTCTGGGCTCCCATGCGTCTTCAGCAGGGAGAAACCAGCGTGGGAGGGTGGAGGGGAGTGTGGAAGTGAACCTCCGTGGGAGTCTGGAGTGTTACAGGCCTTCTTTCCGTGAAAGAGGAAGTGCCTGTGGGTGTCGACATTGCCGGGACAGTCTCACACACGCAAGCGTATGGCTCTCGTTCATTTCCACGTAGGAGAGCAGAGCGAGACACCAGAGAGAAGATGCCTCCCTGGCATGATGGCCTGATGATGGATTCCCAAGTGTGGCAACATGGGGAGGCTGCAGTGTGGCCGGTTTGGAAACTGGCAAGGAGAGAGAAGGCACCATGCCAGTCTTCCACCCTTCCCTGCCTGTATCCGGGTGCCCGCAGAGATACGGGAGCAAACAGTCAGCATGACACATCTCTGAACTGATCAACAAAGTAAAGTAACTCTTTTCTAGGCTCTGCCTACAGGGGCTTTGTGACATATCTCTGCACTGATCACTCAGGTGATGGGGCTCTTGTCTAGGCTCTGCCTATGGGGGCATTGTGACACATCTCTACACTGATCACCCAGGTGATGGAACTCTTGTGTTGGATCTGCCTATGGGGGAATTGTGACATATTTCTGCACTGATCACCCAGGTGTTGGGACTCTTTTCTTTGCTCTGTGTATGGGGGCTTTGTGACATAACTCTGCACTGATCACCCAGGTGATGGAACGCTTCACTAGGCTCCGCCTACGGGGTATAGTGACATATCACTGCATTGATCACCGAGGTGATAAAACTCTTGTCCAGGCTCTAGCTATAGGGGGCCTTGTGACATATCTCTGCAGTGATCACCTAGGGGATGTAACTCTTGCTTATGCTCTGCCTTCAGGGGCATTGTGAAATACCTCTGCACTTATCACACAGGTGATGGGACCCTTCTCTAGGCTCTGCTTACTGGGGGCATTGTCACAGATGTCTGCACTGATCACCCAGGTGACGGACTATGGTCTTGGATTTGCCTATGGGGGCATTGTGACATATCTCTGCACTGATCACCCAGGTGATGTAACCCTGGTCTAAGCTCTGCCTAACGGGGCATTGTAACAGGTCTCTGCACTGATCACCCAGGTGATGTAACTCTTGTCTAGGCCCTATTTACAGGGTGTATTGTGACATATCTCTGCACTGATCACCTAAGTTATGTAACACTTGTGTAGGCTCTGCCTACAGGGGCATTTTGACATATCTCTGCACTGTTAACCGAGGTGATGTATCTCTTGTCTAGGCTGTGCCCACAGGGAGATTGAGACATATCTCTGCACTGATCCCGAGGTGATCCAAATCTTGCCTGGTCTCTGCCTACTGTGTACATTGTGACATATCTCTGTACTGATCTCCCAGGTGCTGTAACTTTAGTCTAGGCTCTGGCTACACGGCCTTGTGACATATCACTGCAATGACCACCCAGGTGATATAATTCTTGTCTAGGCTCTTCCTACAGGGGGCTTGTGACATATCTCTGCACTGATTACCCAGGTGATATAACTCTTCTCTAGGATCTTCCTACAAGGTGCTTTGTGACGTATCCCTGCAATGATCACCCAGGTGATACACCATTTGTCATGGCTCTGCCTACAGGGGCATTGCGATGTATCTCTGCACTGATCAGATAGGTCATGTAACTCTTGTCTAGGCTATGCCTACAGTGGCATTGTGACATATCTCTGCACTGATCACCAAGGTGATGTAACTCTTTTCTAGGATCTTCCTACAGGGAGCTTTGGAACATATCCCTGCAATGATCACCCAGGTGATGTACCACTTGTCAAGGCTCTGCCTACAGGGATATTGTGATGTATCTCTGCACTGATCACCTAGGTCATGTAATTCTTGTCTAGGCTCTGTCTACAGTGGCTTTGTGACATATCTCTGCACTGATCATCCAAGTGATATAACTCTTGTCTAGCATCTGACTAAAGGGATTTTGTGACATAACTCTGCACTGATCATCCAAGTGATGGGGCTTTTGTCTAGGCTCTGCCTAAGGGGGAATTGTGACATATTTCTGCACTGGTCACCCAGGTGACGGACTCTTGTCTTGGATCTGCCTATGGGGGCATAGTGACATATCTCTGCAGTGATCACCCAGGTGATGTAACTGTTGTATAAGCTCTGCCTACGGGGAAATTGTGAGAGATCTCGCCACTGATTACCCAAATGATGTAACGATAGTCTAGGATTTGCCTACAGGGGGCTTTGTGACATACCTTTGCACTGATCACCCAGGTGACGTAACTCATCTAAGTTCTGCCTAAAGGAGCTTTGTGACATATCTCTGCACTGATCACTTAGGTGATGTGACAATTTTGTAAGCACTGCCTACAGGGAATTTTGACAAGTCTCTGCACTGATCACCTAGGTGATATAACTGTTGTCTACCCTCTGCCCAAAGGGGGCATTGTGAAATATCTCTGTACTGATCACCCAGGTGATTCAACTCTTGTCTAGGATCTGCGTACACAGGGCATTGTGAAATATCTCTGCACTGATCAACTAGGTGATGTAACTCTTGTCTAGGCTCTGCCTACAGGGGCGTTTTCACATATCCCTGAACTGATGACAAAGGTGATGTAACTTTTGCCTAGGCTTTGCCTACAGGGGACATTGTGACATATCTCTGCAGTGATCACCCAGGTGATGCAACTCTTCTCTATGCTCTGCCTACAGAGGGCATTGTGACATATCTCTGCACTGATCACGCAGGTGATGGAAGTCTTCTCTAGGCTCTGTCTATGGGTGCATTGTGTCAAATATCTGCACTGATAACCCAGGTGATGTAACCCTTGTCTAGGCTCTGTCTACTGGGATTTTTGTGACATATCACTGCACTCATCACCTAGGTGATGTAAGCCTTGTATGGTCTTTGCCTACAGAAGGCTTTGTGACATATCCATGCACTGATCTCTGAGGTGATGCAACTCTTGTCTAGGCACGGCCTACCGGGGACATTGGTACATATCTCTGCATTGATCACCCAGGTGATGGACTCTTGTCTTAGATCTGCCTACATGGACATTATGACACATCTCTGAACTGATCAACCAAGTGATGAAACTCTTGTCTAGGCTCTGCCTTCAGGGGCTATGTGACACTTCTCTGCACTGATCACCCTGGGGAGGGAACTCTTGTCTATTCTCTGCCTACAGGAGGCTTTATGACTTATACCTGCACTGATAACCTAGTTGATGTAACACTTGTCTAGGCTCTGCCTAAACGGGAATTCTCACATATCTCTGCACTGATCACCCAGGTGATGTAACTCCTGTCTCGGTTCAGCCTACAGGAGCGTTTCGACATATCTCTGCACTGATCACGCAGGTGATGTAACCCTTGTCAAAGCTCTGCCTACAGGGGCATTGTGACAGATTACTCCACTGCTCACCCAGCTGATGTAACAATTGTCTGGGCTTTGCTTACAGGGGGCTTTGCGTTATACATTTCCACTGATCAAACAGGTGATGTAACCCGTGTCGAGGTTCTGCTTATAGGGGCTTTGTGACATATCTCTGCACTGATCACCACAGGGAGGAAACACTTGTCTACACTCTGCCTACAGGAGGCTTTATGACTTATCCCTGCACTGATCACTAGGTGATGTAACACTTGTCTAGGCTCTGTCTACACGGGAATTTTCACATATCTCTACACTGATCTCCTAAGTGATATAACCCTTGTCTAAGTTCAGCCTACTGGGGATTTCTGACATACCTATGCACTGATCACCGAGGTGATGTAAATCATTTTCAGGTTTTTTCTATGGGGGACATTGTGATAAATCTCTGCACTGATCACCCAAATGATGCAAATCTTCTCTAGGCTCCGCAGGGAGGGGACATTGTGACATATTTCTGAACTGATCATCCAGGAGTTGTAACTATTCTCTAGGCTTTGACTAAAGAGCGTTGGAAGGTGTTGGGAGAGCCTCAGCTGGAATTTCACAGAAGGACAAGGGCACAGAGAGGCCAGCGGGCTCCCTTGCACATCAGCCGGGGTGCGCAATTAGCGCAGGTCTAGCCAGGAGGCTGGCAAAGAGAGCTAGATATCTGGGTTCCACCGCCAAGCTCTGTATGGTGGCAGCTGGGAGGCTGCAGGTTCACTGGCTGGCCAGCGACGGTGGCGCAGAGATGCAGAGTAGGGGAGCCGCCGGAGGGTTGTCAGGCCTGGACGCTGCATGGGCTCAGTGTTTTCCGGGAAGGGGGTCTCCACCTAGCCCAGGGGACGATGCATTTTCCGGGTGTGCGGGGTGGGGGTGGGGAGGTGGTGGTCAGGCGGGGATGGGATGGTGGAAAGTCATGGGATGTGCTGCTCCCACAGCACAGGCGGCTGCCCGCAAACCCGCGCGTGCGCAGTAGGGAGCCCACCTGCTAGTACCTGGGCCGGCTCTGGGATCCCTGTGATGCCCAGGAAAGAATGGCAGGTCTCTGCTGGGTGGAGCCACTCACTGGGCCTAGACCTAGAAGGCAGGAATCCCAGGCCAGTCAGCCCGGTGGAGGGGGCAGGGGGAAGACATGCCAATCCATAGCCAGCCAGGTGTTAGCCGTGAAAGAGAGGCCACCGCCCTGCCCCGACCTGATCCCGTCCCGACCCGGGGTCCTGAATCTCCTCCAGCAGAGCCCGGTATTATTCCACACTCAGGGGCGCTTCCAGCGAGGTGGCCTCTTCCAAGGCCTCCAGCTCCCCTGGGGCCTCGGTTTCTAGGAAAGCTGCGCCTGCTGCTGAAACTCTGGGCTCGCCGGGAGCTCATCCAGCAGCAGGCCGGAGGGGAGTGCCGACGAGCGCCCCGGATCCTGGAGCACCTGGGTGGGCGCCATGATGCCTTGCATCTACCCCTGCCGCGCGGAGGCATCTGGGGGCGCGGGCTGGCAGGTGGAGCTGCCCCGGCTTTGGGTTCCCACGTCACCCCGGCGACCTGGGGAACCCGAACTCAGCCCCACCACGGACTCCCCTGGGACGCGGGTGGTGCAAGCACACCTCGGCCCTGTGGTCCGCTTGAGCGGGCCCAGGCTGTCCCACTGCGCAAGGGCCTGGCAGGCCGTCGCACTGCGGGTCCCTGTACTCCCGGCTTTTGCCCGGGTGCGGAGGACACTGAGGAGCCTGAGAGTGGGAGAGCGCCCCTTCTGGAGGAGCCAGGGCGGCGTAGGCAAAATCCCCGCGTGCCGGGGCTGGTTGTGAGGTCCCCTCTGCCGGCGCGGCCTGGCTGGGCTGGAGCAGGGGGACGGCCCTCGCTCCCTGGATCATGAAAGCCACCTTTGGGAGAGCCCCAGGTGCTCAGGGCACGTAGGGTGCGGGAAGCCCAGTTCCCCATGCACCAGTGTGGGTGAAGGCGACTCACAAGGGAGCAGGGTGACACCCGCCGGGGGCCCCGTTGTACAGGCCGCCTGCCTGTGAGGGTGCCCTGCCAGCCTGTCCCGGGTGCCTGGCCCTACGATTCTGAAGCCAGATCTGAATCCAGGACTCCAGGAATCCCGTCTCTCTGGCCATCTCTTCCCTGGCGGCGATGCCTGGAAAGCGATCCTTCTCAAAGGCTCGGAGGAGCAGGGTGGTCTGGGATCCGGTGAAGGCGGTCCGTTTTCACCTGCCTTCTTGCGGGCCGCGTCTCCCGGGCCAGGGGCGAGATTCCTGCCGGTGCTGCCTCAGCTGGCGTAACCTCTCATTCTGAAACCAAATCTGGACCTTGGGCTCTGGAATTGCGATGGGCTGGGCCAGCCGTTCTCTGGTGGCGATGTCCGGGTATGGGTTCCCCTCAAAGCAGGCTTGCAGGGCCTCTCTTTGCCTCGGGGTCCTAACGAGTCTCCTTCACTGTCCCCGTTCCCGGGCTTCCGTGGGGAGGGTGCCATCTGAAGGTATCGGGAGGGCCATCGCGGGGAGCCCCAGTCAGAATTTCACAGACGGACAAGGGCAGAGAGAGGCTGGAGGGATTCCGTGCACCTCAGCTGGCATGTGCGCTGCGGCAGGTGCAGCCAGGAGGCCTCCCCGGACAGCCAGCCAGTGGCTCTTATAAAGGCCCGCAGGCAGGCAGGCTCCACCCCTTCATGAATGGTGGTGAGCCCTGGGACAGACTACCCCACCCCGGAAGGGTCCCAGGGCGTTGAGTCCTGCTGCCGGTGGGTGGTGGTGTGGGGTGGGAGGGCGTGGTGATGGTGGAGGTGGGGCCGGAGTGACGAAGAGGAAGGGGGCGAGGGGGAAGTGGTGAGGGGTGCGCGTTTCAGGAGCTGGCTCTCCGGACCTCCCCAGGTATCCCGCGGGAACTGGAAGCCGCCCTCTGAGTTCCCAAACGTCTTCAGCAGGGAGAAACCGGCCTGGGAGGGTGGTGGGGAGTGTAGAACTGAACCTCTGTGGGAATCTTCAGTGTTCCAGGGACGCTCTCCATGTCCCTGTAACCATATCCTTGACAAAAGTGACATCACCTGGGGGATCAGTGCGGAGATATGTCACAATATCTCCTGTAGGCAGAGCCTAGACCAGAGTTACATTACGTGGGTGATCAGGGCAGAGATATGTCACAATGCCCCCTGTAAGGAGATCCCAGACAAGAGTTGCATCACCTCAGTGATCAGTGCAGAGATATGTCTCAATGCCCCCTGTGGGCGAAGCCTATACAAGAGTTACATAATCTCGGTGAACAGTGCAGTGATTTGTTAAAATGCTCCTGTAGGCAGAGCCTAGACAAGAGTTGCATCACCTGGGTGATCAGTGCAGAGTTATCTCACAATACCTCCTGTAAACAGAGCCTAGAAAAGAGTTACCTCACCTGGGTGATCAGTGCAGAGGTATGTGACAAGGCCACTTTAAGCAGAGCCTAGACAATAGTTACATCGCCTGGGTGATCAGTGCAGAGATTTGTCACAATGCCCCTTTAGCCAGAGCTTAGACCAGAGTTACATCACCTGGGTGATCAGTGCAGAGATATCTCACTATGCCCCTATAGGCAAATCCAATAAAAGATACTGTCACCTGGGTGATCAGTGCAAAAATATGTGACAATGCCCACAGTAAGCAGAGCCTAGAGAAGAGTCCCATCACCTGGGTGATCAGTGCAGAGATATTTCACAATGCCCCTGCAGGCAGAGTGTAAGAGAGGGTTACATCACCTAGATGATCAGTGCAGAGATATGTCACAAGGCCCCCTATACGCAGAGCCTGGAGAAGAGTTACATCACCTCCGTGATCTATGAAGTGATAGGTCACTATGCCCCGTACGTAGAGCCTAGTAAAGCATTACATCACCTGAGTGATCAGTGCAGAGATATGTCACAAAGCCCCCATACACAGAGCCTAGAGAAGAGTCCCATCACCAGGATGATCAGTGCAGAAATATGTCAAAATGCCCCCATAGGCAGATCCAACACAAGTGTTCCATCTCCTGGGTGATCAGTGTAGAGATATTTCACAATGCCCCCATAGGCAGAGCCTACACAAAAGTCCCATCACCTGGGTGATCAGTGCAGAGATATGTCACAAAGCCCCTTTAGGCAGAGCCTAGACAACAGTTACATCACTTTGTTTATCAGTTCAGAGATTTGCCAGGCTAACTGTTTGCTCCCGGAGCAATGTCACAAATCCCCCTCTAGGCAGAGTATAGAGAAGTGTCCCATCACCTGGGTGATCAGTGCAGAGATATTTCACAATGCCCCCTGTAGGCAGAGAGTGGACAAGAGTTACATAACCTAGGTGATCTGTGCATAGCTATGTCAAAACGCCCATGTAGGCAGAGCCTAGATAAATGTTACATCACCTGGGTGATCAGTGCTGAGATACATCACAATGCCCCCTTTAGATGGAGTCTAGACAACAGTTACATCACCTGGGTGATCAGTGCAGAGATATGTCACAAAGCCCCTGTAGGCAGAACCTAAACAACAGTTACATCACCTGGGTGATCAGTGCAGAAATGTGTCACAAAGGCCCTGTAGGACAAGCCCAGACAAGAGTTATATCTCCAGGGAGATCAGTGCAAAGATATGTCAAAAAGCCCCCTGTAGACAAATCCCAGAAAATTGTTACATCACCTGGGTGATCAATGGAGGTATCTGTCACAATTCCCCTTTAGGCGCAGCTTAGACAAGCGTTACATCACATAAGTGATAAGTGCAGATATATGTCATTATGCTCCCGTAAGCAGATCCAAGACAAGAGTCCATCACCTGGGTAATCAGTGCAGAATTATGCCACAATGCCACCAGTAGGCAGATATAGACAAGAGTTACATCACCTGCGTGATCACTGCAGAGATATGTCACGGTTCCTCTCTATGCAGAGCCTAGAAAAGAGTCCCATCACCTGGGTGATCAGTGCAGGGTTATGTCACAATGCCCCCTTTAGGCAGAGCCTAGACAAGGGTTACATCACCTGGGTGATCAGTGCAGAGATGTGTCACAAGCCCACTGTAGCTAGAGCCTAGACAAGAGTTACATCAGCTGTGTGATCAGTGCAGTGACATGTCTCATTGTCCAGTAGCCATATCCTTGACAAAAGTGACATCACCTGGGTGATCATTGCGGAGACATGTCACAATGTCTCCAGTAGGTAGAGCGTAGACAAAAGTTACATCACCTGGGTGATAAGGGCAGGGATATGTCACAATGCCCCCTGTAAGCAGATCCCAGACAAGAGTTGCATCACCTCGGTGATCAGTGCAGAGATATGTCTCAATGTCCCCTGTCGGGGAAGCCTATACAAGAGTTACATGATCTCGGTGATCAGTGAAGTGATTTGTTAAATTGCCCCTGTAGGCAGAGCCTAGAATAGAGTTACATCACCTGGATGATCAGTGCAGAGATATCTCACAATAGCCCCTGTAAGCATAGCATAGACAAGAGTTACATCACCTGGGTGATCAGTGCAGAGATATGTCTAAATCCCACTGTAGGCAAAATGTAGACAAGTTTTACATCACCTGAGCTATCAGTGCAGAGATAGGTCCCAATATCCCTCAAGGCAGAGCTTAGACAAGGGTCACATCTCCTTGGTGATCAGTGCAGAGATAAGTCACAATGCCCCCATAGGCAGAGCCTAGACAAGAGTTACATAACCTGGGTGATCAGTGCAGAGTGATGTCACAACGCCCTCTTTTGGCAGAGACTACAAAAGAGTTACATCATCTGGGTGATCAGTGCAGAGAAATGTAACAATGCCTCTTGTAGGCAGAGCATAGAGAAGAGCTGCATCACCTGCGCGATCAGTGCAGAGATATGTCACAATGTCCCCTGTAGGCAGAGCATAGAGAAGAGTTGCATCACCTCGGTGATCAGTGCAGAGATATGTCACAATGCCACTGTAGGCAGAGCTTAGACAAGAGTTACATGACCTAGGTGATCAGTGCAGAGGTACATCGCAATGCCCCTGTAGGCAGAGCCTTGACAAGGGGTACATCACCTGGGTGATCATTGCAGGGATATGTCACAAAGCACCCTCTAGGCAGATCCTAGAGAAGAGTTATATCACCTGGGTGATCAGTGCAGAGATATGTCACAAGAACCCTGTAGGCAGAGCCTAGACAAGAGTTATATCACCTGGGTGATCAGTGCTATGATATGTCACAATGCCGTGTAGCCTGAGCCTAGGCTAAAGTTACTGCACCTGGGAAATCAGTGCAGAGATATGTTACAATGTCCCTGGTAGGCAGAGACCAGGCAAGATTTGGATAACCTCGGGATCATTGCAGAGATATGTCTCAATACCCCTGTGGGCACAGCCTAGACAAGAGTTACCTCATCTCAGTTAATAGTTCAGAGATATGTTAAAATGCCCCTGTAGGCAGAGCCTACAAAATTGTTAGATCACTTAGGTGATTAGTACAGAGATATGTCACAATACCCCCTGTAAGCAGAGCCTAGACAACAGATACATCACCTGGGTGATCAGTGCCGAGATATGTCACAATGCCCCCTGTAGGCAGAGCATAGAGAAGAGATGCATCACCTGGGTGATCAGTGCAGAGATATGTCACAATGTCCCCTGTAGGCAGAGCATAGAGAAGAGTTGCATCACCTGGGTGATCAGTGCAGAGATATGCCACAATGTCCCCTTTAGGCAAAGCCTAGGCTAGAGTTACATAACCTTTGTCATCAGTTCAGGGATATGTGAAAACATCGCAGTAGGCAGATCCTATACAAGAGTTGAATCACCTGGGTGATCAGTGCAGAGATATTTCACAATGTCCCCTTTAGGCAGACGGTAGAAAAGAGTTACATCACCTAGGTGATCAGTGCAGAGATTTGTCAAAATTCCCTGTAGGCAGTGCTTATAAAAGTGTTACATCACCTAAGTGATCAGTGCAGAGATATGTCACAAAGCTCCTGTAGGCAGAACTTAGATGAGTTACATCACCTGGGTGATCAGTGCAAAGGTATGCCACAAAGCCCCCTGTAGGCAAAGCCTAGAAAATAGTTCCATCACTTGGGTGATCAGTGTCAAGATCTCTCGCAATTCCCCTGTAGGCAGAGCTTATACAACAGTTACATCACCTGGGTGATCAGTGCAGAGATATGTCACAATTCCCCCTTAGGCAGATACAAGACAAGAATCTGCTCACCTGGGTGATCAGTGCAGAAATATGTCACAATGCCCCCTTAGACAAAGCCTAGACAAAAGCCCCAACATGGATGATCAGTGCAGGGTTATGTCACAAAATCCCTTTAGGCAGATCCTAGACAAGGGTTACATCACTTGGATGATCAGTGCATAGATATGCAACAATGCCACTGTAGGCAGAGCCTAGACAATGTTACATGACCTAGGTGATCAGTGCAGAGATACATCGCAATGTCCCTCTAGGCAGAGCCTTGACAAGTGGTACATCACCTGGGTGATCATTGCAGGGATATGTCACAAAGCACCCTGCAGGCAGATACTAGAACAGAGTTACATCACCTGGGTGATCAGTGCAGAGATATGTCACAATGCCACTGTAGGCAGAGCCTAGACAAGAGTTACATGACCTACGTGATCAGTGCAGACATACATAGCAATGCCCCTGTAGGCAGAGCTTTGACAAGTGGTATATCACCTGTGTGATCATTGCAGGGATATGTCACAAAGCACCCTGTAGGCAGATCCTAGAGAAGAGTTATATCACCTGGGTGATCAGTGCAGGGATATGTCACAAGAACCCTGTAGGGAGAGCCTAGACAAGAGTTATATCACCTGGGTCATCCATGCAGAGATATGTCACAATGCCCCCATAGGCAAATCCAAGACTAGAGTCCGTCACCTGGGTGATCAGTGCAGAAATATGTGACAAAGCCCACAGTAGGCAGAGCCTAGAGAAGAGTCCCATCACCTGTGTGATCAGTGCAGAGATATTTCACAATGCCCCTGCATGCAGAGCGTAAGTAATACTTACATCAGCTAGATGATCAGTGCAGAGATATGTCACAAAGCCCCCTATAGGCAGAGCGTGGACAAGAGTTACATCACCTTGGTGATCAATGCAGTGATATGTAACTGTGCCCCTTAGGCAGAGCGTAGTCAAAAATTACCTCACCTGGGTGATCAGTGCAGAGATACATCACAATACCCCCTGTAGGTGGAGCCTAGACGAGAGTTACATCACCTGGGTGATCATTGCAGAGATATGTCACAAAGCCCCTGTAGGCAGAACCTAAATAACAGTTACATCACCAGGGTGATCAGTGGAGAAATATGTCACAAAGCCCCTGTAGGCCGAGCCTAGCCAAGATTTACATCTCCTGGGTGATCAGGGCAAAGATATGTCACAAAGCCCGCTGTAGACAAATCCCAGAAAATTGTTACATCACCTGGGTGATCCGTGGAGATATCTTTCACAATTCCCCTTTAAGTGCAGCTTAGACAAGCGTTACATCACATGCGTGATCAGTGCAGAGATATGCCACTATGCCCCCTTAGGCAGATCTAAGACAAGAGTCCATCACCTGGGTGATCAGTGCAAAAATATGCCTCAATGCCGCCAGTAGTCAGATATAGACAAGAGTTACATCACCTGCGTGATCACTGCAGAGATATGTCACAATGCCCCTGTAGGCAGAGCCTAGAGAAATGTCCCTTCACCTGTGTGATCAGTGCAGAGTTATGTCACAATGCCCCATTTTGGCAGAGCCTAGACAAGGTTTACATCACCTGGCTGATCAGTGCGGAGAGGTGTCACAAGACCCCTGTAGCCAGATCTGAATCCTGGACTCTGGGAGGCCCATCTCTCTGGCCAGCTCTTCCCTGGTGGCGATGCCTGGAAAGCGATCCTTCTCAAAGGCTCGGAAGAGCAGGGCGGTCTGGATTCCGCTGACGGCGGTCCGCTTTTGCCTGCCTTCTTGCCGGCGGTGTCTCCCTAGCCAGGGCCGAGATTCCCGCGGGTGCTGCCTCAGCTGGCGTGACCTCTCTTTCTGAAAACAAATCTGGACCGTGGGCTCCGGAATGCCGATGGCCTGGGCCAGCCGTTCTCTGGTGGGGATGCCCCGGTAAGGGTTCCGCTCAAAGCAGGCTCAAAGAGCCTCGCTTTGCCTCGGGGTCCAAACGAGTCTCCTTCGATGTCCCTGTCCCTGGGATTCCGGGTGGAGGGTGCCATTCGAAGGTGTCGGGAGGGCCATCGCGGGGAGCCCAGGCCGGAATTTCACGGACGGCATGGGCAGAGAGAGGCCAGCGGGCTCCCGAGCACCTCAGCCGCCCTGTGCACTGCGGCAGGTGCAGCCAGGAGGCCCGCCCGGACAGCCACCCAGCGGCTCTTATAAAGGCCGCAGGCTGGCAGGCTCCACCGCTTCATGAATGGTGGTGAAACCTGGGACACCCCGCCTCACCACAGAAGGGTCCCAGGGCGTCGAGGCCTGCGGCCGGGGAGTGGTGGTGTGGGAGGGGGAAGGCGTGTTGATGGTGGCGGTGGGGCTGGTGGGACGAAGAGGAAGGGGGCGAGGGGGAATGGGTGAGGGGGTCGCGTTTCCGGGGCTGGCTCTCCTGACATATCCAGGAATCCCGCGGGAACTGGAAGCCGCTCTCTGGGCTCCCACACGTCTTCAGCAGGGAGAAACCGGTCTGGGAGTGTGGAGGGGAGTGTGGAACTGAACCTCCTTGGGAGTCTTGAGTGTTCCAGGCCCTCTCTCCGTGGAGGACGCAGTGCTTATGGGTGTCGCCGTTGACGGGACAGTCTCACACACGCAGTCGTGTGGCTCTCGTTCATTTATTTCCACGTAGGAGACAAGAGCGAGACCCCAGAGAGAAGATGGCACCCCGGCGTGATGGCCTGACTATGGATTCCCGTGTGCGGCAACATGGGGTGTCTGCAGTATGGCCGGTTTGGAAACTGGCAAGGAGAGCGAAGGCACCATGCCAGTCTTCCACACTTCCCTGCATGTTTCCAGGTGCCCGCAGAGCTCCGGGAGCAAACAGTCAGCATGACAGATCTCTGAACTGATCAACAAACCGATGTAACACTTGATTAGGCTCTGCCTACAGGGGCTTTGTAACATATCTCTGCACTGATCACCCAGGTGACGGGACTTTTATCTAGGCTCGGCCTATGGGGGTATTGTGACATATCTCTACACTAATCCCACAGGTGATGTAACTATTTTGTTGGATATGCGTATGGGGGCATTGTTACATATTGCTTCACTGATCACCCAGGTGATGGGACTCTTGTCTAGGCTCTGTGTATGGGGGTTTTATGACACATCTCTACACTGATCACCCAGGTGATGTAACGCTTCACTAGGCTCTGCCTATGGGGCATAGTGACATATCACTGTATTGATCGCTGAGGTGATATAACTCTTGTCCAGGCTCTGCTTTTAGGGGGCATTGTGACATATCTCTGCACAGATCATCTAGGTGATGTAACTCTTGCTTACGCTCTACCTGCAGGGGCATTGTGAAATATCTCTGCACTGATCACCCAGGTGATGGGAATCTTCTCTACGCTCTGCCTACTGGGGGCATTGTCACATATGTCTGCACTGATCACCCAGGTGACGGACTCTCATCTGGGATTTGCCTAGGGGGGCATTGTGACATATCACTGCACTGATCACCCAGGTGATGTAACTCTGGTCTAAGCTCTGCCTAAAGGGGCATTGTGACAGAATTCTGCACTGATCACTTAGGTGATGTAACTATTGTCAAGGCTCTGCTTAAAGGGGCCTTGTCACATATCTCTGCACTGGTCACCCAGGTGATGTAACTCTTGTCTAGGCTCTGCTTAGAGGGAGTATTGTGACATATCTCTGCACTGATCACCTAAGTGATGTAACACTTGTGTAGGCTCTGCCTACAGGGGCACCTTGACATATCACTGCACTGTTAACCGAGGTGATGTAACTCTTGTCTAGGCTGTGCCCACAGGGGGATTGAGACATATCTCTGCACTGATCCCGAGGTGATCCAAATCTTCCCTGGTCTCTGCCTAATGGGGACATTGTGATATATCTCTGCACTGATCTCCCAGGTGTTGTAACTTTAGTCTAGGCTCTTTCTACATGCATTGTGACATATCACTGCACTGATCACCCAGTTGATATAACTCTTGTCTAGGCTCTGCCTACAGGGGGCTTGTGACATATCTCTGCACTGATCACACAGGTGACATAACTCTTCTCTACGATCTGCCTACATGGTGCTTTGTGACATATCCCTGCAATGATCACCCAGGTGGTATAACACTTGTCAAGGCTCTGCCTACAGGGGCATTACGATGTATCTCTGCACTGATCACCTAGGTCATGTAACTCTTGTCTAGGCTCTGCCTACAGTGGCATTGTGACATATCTTTGCACTGATCACCCAGGTGATGTAACTATTTTCTAGGATCTCCCTAAAGGGATTTTGTGACATAACTCTGCACTGATCATCCAGGTTTTGAGGCTTTTGTCTAGGCTCTGCCTAAGGGGGCATTGTGACATATTTCTGCACTGATCACCGAGGTGACAGACTCTTGCTTTGGATCTGCCTAAGGACGCATTGTGACTTATCTCTGCACTGATCACCCAGGTGACGTAACTGTTGTATAAGCTCTGCCTACAGGGAAATTGTGAGAGATCTCGCCAATGATGACCCAAGTGATGTAACTATTATTTAGGCTCTGCCTACAGGGGGCTTTGTGAGAAACCTTTGCACTGATCACCCAGGTGATGTAACTTATCTAATTTCTGCCTACAGGAGCATTGTGTCATATCTCTGCACTGATCATCTAGGTGATGTAACGATTTTATAAACACTGCCTACAGGGAATTTTAACAAATCTCTGCACTGATCACATTTTTTATGTAACTCTTGTCTACCCTCTGTCCAAAGGGGGCATTGTGAAATATCTCTGCCTGATTACCCAGGTGATTCTACTCTTGTCTAGGATCTGCCTACAAGCGGTATTGTGAAATGTCTCTGCACTGATCATCTAGGTGATGTAAATCTTGTCTAGGCTCTGCCTACAGGGGCGATTTCACCTATCCCTGAACCAATGACAAAGGTGATGTAACTCTTGCCTAGGCTTTGCCTACAGGGTACATTGTGACATATCTCTGCAGTGATCACCCAGGTGATGCAACTCTTCTCCATGCTCTGCCTACAGGGGACATTGTGACATATGTCTGCATTGACCACACAGGTGATGCAACTCTTCTCTATGCTCTGCCTACAGGTGGCATTGTGACATATCTCTGCACTGATCACCCAGGTGATGTAACTCTTTTGTATTCTCTGCCTACAGAGGGCGTTGTGACATCCCACTGCACGGATCACCCGGGTTATGTAACTCTTTTCTAGGCTCTGCCTACGGGGGCATTGTGACTTATCTCTGCACTGATCACCCAGGAGATGTGATTCTTGTCTAAGCTCTGCCTAAAGGGACATTGGGACATAACTCTGCACTGATCACTGAGGTGATGTAAAACTTGTCTAGGCTTTGCCTACAGTGGGATTTATGACATATCCCTGCACTGATCACCCAGGTTATGTAACTCTTGTCTAAGCTCTGCTTACAGGGGGTATTGTGAGATAAATCTGCACTGATCACCCAGGTGATGTAACTGTTGTCCAGGCTCAGCCTATAGGGGGTCTTGTGACATATCTCTGCACTGATCATCTACGTGATGTAACTCTTGCTTACACACTGCCTGCAGGGGCATTGTGAAATATCTCTGCACTGATCACCCAGGTAATAGGACACTTTTCAAGGCTCTGCCTACTGGGGGCATCGTCACATAATTCTGCGCAGATCACCCAGGGTATGGACTCTTGTCTTGGATTTGCCTATGGGGGCATTGTGACATATCTCTGCACTGATCACCCAGGTGATGTAACTCTTGTCTAAGCTCTGCCTAAATGGGCATTGTGACAGATCTCTGCACTGATCACTCAGGTGATGTAACTATTGTCTAGACTCTGCTTAAAGGGGCATTGTCACATATCTGTGCACTGATCACCCAGGTGATGTAACTATTGTCTAGGCACTCCTTAAAGGGGCCTTGTCACATATCTCTGCACTGATTACCCAGGTGATGTAACTCTTGTCTAGGCTCTGCTTACACTGGGTATTGTGACATATCTCTGCACTGATCACCTAAGTGATGTAACACTTGTGTAGGCTCTGCCTGCAGGGGCATTGTGAAATATCTCTGCACTGATCACCCAGGTGATGAGACCCTTCTCTAGGCTCTGCTTACTGTGGGCATTGTCACACATGTCTGCACTGATCACCCAAGTGAAGGACTCTTGTCTTGGATTTGCCTATGGGTCATTGTGACATATCTCTGCACTGATCGCTGAGGTGATGCAAACTTGTCTAGGCTTTGCCTACAGTGGGATTTATGACACATCTCTGCTCTGATCACCCATGTGATGTAACTCTTGTATAGGCTTCGCCGACAGGGGGCATTGAGACATATCTCTGCACTGATCACCGAGGTGATGCAACTCTTGTCTTGGATCTGCTTACAGGGGGCATTGTGACATATCTCTGCCCTGATCACCCAGGTGATGTAACTCTTTTCTAGGCTCTGCCTACTGGAGACATTGTGACATATTTCCGCACTGATCACCCAGGTGATGTCACTTTTGTCAATGATATGACTACAGGGATACTGTGACATGTCACTGCACTGATCACACAGGTGATGTAACTCTTGTATAGGCTCTGGATACAGGGGGCTTGTGACACATCTCTGCACTGATCACCCCTGTGATGTAACCCTTGCCTAGGCTCTGCCAAAAGGGGGCATTGTGACATAACTGTGCACTGATCACCCAGGTGCTGTAACGCTTGACTAGGCTCTGCCTACGGGGCATAGTGACATATCACTGCATTGATCACTGAATTAATGTAACTCTTGTCAGGGATTTGCCTATAGAGGGCCTTGTGAGATATCTCTGCACTGATCATCTAGGTGATGTAACTCTTGCTTGTGCTCTCCCTGCAGGAGCATTGGGAAATATCTCTGCACTGATCACCCAGGTGATGGAACTCTTCTCTAGGCTCTGCGTACTGGGGGCATTGTCACATATTTCTGCACTGATCTCCCAGGTGACGGACTCTTGTCTTGGATTTGCCTATGGGGACATTGTGTCATATCTCTGCGCTGATCACTCAGGTGATGCAACTCTGGTCCAAGCTCTGCCTAAAGGGCTATTGTGAGAGATCTCTGCACTGATCACTCAGGTGATGTAACTATTGTCTAGGCTCTGCTTAAAGGGGCTTGTCACATATCTCTTCACTGATCACCCAGGTGATGTAACTCTTGTCTAGGCTCTGCTTACAGGGGGTATTGAGACATATCTCTGCACTGATCACCCAGGTTATATAACTCTTCTCTAGGATCTGAATACAACATGCTTCGTGATATATCCCTGTAATGATCACCCTGGTGACGTACCAGTTGTCAAGGCTCTACATACAGGGGCATTGCGATGTATCTCTGCACTGATCACCTAGGTCATGTAACACTTGTCTAGGCTCTGCCTACAGTGGCATTGTGACATATCCCTGCACTGATCACCCAGGTGGTGTAACTCTTTTCTAAGATATGCCTACAGGGTACTTTGAGACATATCCCTGCAATGATCACCCAGGTGATGTACTGCTTGTCAAGGCTCTGCCTACAGGGACATAGCGATGTATCTCCTCACTGATCACCTAGGTCATGTAACTCTTGTCTAGGCTCTGCCTGCAGTGGCATTGTGACATATCTCTGCACTGAACATCCAAGTGATGTAACTCTTCTCTAGGATCTACCTGAAGGCACCTTGTGACATAACTCTGCACTGATCATCCAGGTGATGGGGATTTTTTCTAGTCTCTGCCTAAGGGAGGATTGTGACGTATTTCTGCACTGACCACCCAGGTGACGTACACTTGTCTTGGATCTGCCTATGGGGGCATTGGGACATATCTCTGCACTGATTGCTGAGGTGATGTAAAACTTCTCTAGGCTTTGCATACAATGAGATTTATGATATATCTCTACAATGATCACCCAGGTGATGTAACTCTTGTCTAGGCTCTGCTTACAGGGGATATTGTGAGATATCTCTGCACTGGTCAACCAGGTGATGTAACTCTTGCCTAGGCTCTGCCTACAGGGGCATTTTCACATATCACTGCACTGAACACCGAGATGATGTGACTCTTGTATAGGCTTCGCTCACAGGGGGCATTGAGACATATCTCTGCACTGACCACCGAGGTGATGCAACTCTTTTCTGGGATCTGCTTACAGGGGGCATTGTGACATATCTCTGCCCTGATCACCCAGGTGATGTAACTCTTGTCTAGGCTCTGCCTACTGGAGACATTGTGACGTATCTCAGCACTGATCACCCAGGTGATGTCACTTTTGTCAAGGATATGGCTACAGGGACTTTGTGACATGTCACTGCACTGATCACACAGCTGATGTAACAGTTTTCTAGGCTCTGGCTACAGGAGGCTTGTGACACATCTCTGCACTGATCACCCAGGTGATGTAACCCTTGTCTAGGCTCTGCCAAAAGGGGGCATTGTGAACTAACTCTGCACTGATCACCCAGGTGATGGGACACTTGTCTATGCTCTGCCTACAGGGGCATTGTGAAATATCTCTACAGTGATCATGCAGGTAATGTAACTCTTGTCTATATCTGCCTACTGGCGGCACTGTGGCATATTTCTGCACTGATCACCCAGGTGATGGACTCTTGTCTTGGATCTGCCTACGGGGGCATAGTGACATATCTCTGCACTAATCACTCATGTGATGTAACCCTTGTCTATGCTGCGACTAAAGGGGAATTGTTACAGATGTCTCTAATAATTACGGAGGTGATGTAACAATTTTCTGGGATTTGTCTACAGGGGGCTTTGTGACATATCTTTGTACTGATCACCCAGGAGATGTAACTCTTGTCTAGGTTCGGCCTACAGGGGCTTTGTGACATGTTTGTGCACTGATCACCCCAGTGATGTAACTCTTGTCTAGGCTCCGACTACAGGGGCTTTGTGACCTATATGTGTACTTTTCACCCAGGTAATGTAAGTCTTCTCTAGGCTCCACCTACTGGGGTTATTGTGACGTATCTCTGCACTGATCACCCAGGTGATATAACAATTATCTAGGCTCTGCCTACAGGGTAGTTTTGACATAGCTCTGCAAAGATCACCTAGGTTCTGTAACTCTTGTCCACTCTCTACCTACAGAGGGCATTGTGAAATATCTCTGCACTGATCACCTAGGTGATGGGACTCTTCTCTACACTCTGCCTGGAGAGAGATTTCTGGCATATCTCTGCACTGATCACCGAGGTGATGGAAGTCTTGTCTGGGCTCTGTCTATGGGGGCATTGTGTCAAATATCTGCACTGATCACCCAGGTGATGTAACTCTTTTCTAGGCTCTGTCTACAGGGATTTTTGTGACATACCATTGCACTGATCACCTAAGTGATGTAAGCCTTTTATGGGCTTTGCCTACAGAAGAATTTGTGACATATCTATGCACTGATCTCTGAGGTGATGCAACTCTTCTATAGGCACTGCCTACATGGTACATTGGTATATAACTCTGCACTGATCACCCAGGTGATGGACTCTTTTCTTAGATCTGCCTACATGAACATTGTGACACATCTCTGAACTGATCAACCAAGTGATGAAACTCTTGTCTAGGCTCTGCCTCCAGGGGCTTTGTGACACATCTCTGCACTGATCACCCTGGGGAGGGATCTCTTGTCTACGCTCTGCCTACAGGAGGCTTTATGACTTAAAGCTGCACTGATAACCAAGATGATGTAACACTTGTCTCAGCTCTGCCTACACGGGAATTCTCACATATCTCTGCACTGATCACCAAAGTGAAGTAACCCTTGTCTAAGCTCTGCCTACAGAGGCATTGTGACAGATCTCTCCACTGCTCACCCAGGTGATGTAACAATTGCCTGGGCTTTGCCTACAGGGGGCTTTGTGATATACATTTCCACTGATCAAACATGTGATGTAACCCTTGTCAAGGTTCTACTTACAGGGGCTTTGTGACATATATCTGCACTGATCAACCTATGGAGGAAACAATTGTCTACACTCTGCCTACAGGAGGCTTTACAACTTATCCCTGCACTGATCACTAGGTGATGTAACACTTGTCTAAGCTCTGTCTACAGGGCAATTTTCACGTATCTCTACGCTGATCACCTAAGTGATGTAACTCTTGTCTAGGCCTGCCTATGTGGGCATTGTGACTTATCTCTGCACTGATCACCCAGGAGATGTGACTCTTGTCTAAGCTCTGCCTAGAGGGACATTGGGACATATCTCTGCACTGATCACTGAGGTGATGTAAAACTTGTCTAGGCTTTGCCTACAGTGGGATTTATGACATATCTGTGCTCTGATAACCCAGGTGAAGTAACTCTTGTCTAGGCTCTGCTTACAGGGGTATTGTGAGATACCTCTGCACTGATCACCCAGGTGATTTGACTCTTGTATAGGCATCGCCGACAGTGGGCATTGAGGCATGTCTCTGCACTGATAACTGAGGTGATGCAACTCTTCTCTGGGATATTCTTACAGGGGGCATTGTGACATATCTCAGCCCTGATCACCCAAGTGATGTAACTCCTGCCTAGGCTCTGCCTACTAGAGACATTGTGACATATCTCCGCCCTGATCACCCAGGTGATGTCACTTTTCTCAAGGATATGGCTATAGGGGCATTGTGACATATTTCTGCACTGATCACACAGGTGATGGACCCTTGTCTTGGATCTGCCTATGGGGGCATAGTGACATATCTCTGCACTGATCACTCATGTGATGTAACGCTTGTCTAAGCTGCGCCTAAAGGGGAATTGTGTCAGATATCTCCACTGATCACCCAGGTGATGTAAGAATACTCTGGTATTTGTCTACAGGAGGCTTTGTGACGTATCTTTGCACTGATCACCCAGGAGATGTAACTCTTGTCTACGCTATGCATAAAGGGGCCTTGTCACATATCTCTGCACTGATCACCCAGGTGATGTAACTCTTGTCTAGACTCTGCTTACAGGGGGTATTGTGACATATCTCTGCACTGATCACCTAAGTGATGTAACACTTGTGTAGGCTCTGCCTACAGGGGCATTTTGACATATTTCTGCACTGCTAAGCGAGATGATGTAACTCTTGTCTAGGCTGTGCCCACAGCGGGATTGAGACATAACTCTGCACTGATCCCGAGGTGATCCAACTCTTGCCTGGTCTCTGCCTACTAGGGACATTGTGACATATCTCTGCACTGTTCTCCCAGGTGCTGTAACTTAATTCTAGGCTCTGGCTACATGGCATCGTGACAAATCACTGCACTGATCACCCAGGTGACATAACTCTTGTCTATGCTCTGCCTACAGGGGTCCTGTGAAATATCTCTGCACTGATCACCCAGGTGATATAACTCTTCTCTAGGATCTGCCTACAGGGTGCTTTGTGACATATCCCTGCAATGATCACCCAGGTGATATACCAATTGTCAAGGCTCTGCCTAGAGGGGCATTGTGATGTATCTCTGCACTGATCACCTAGGTCATGTAACTCTTGTCTAGGCTCTGCCTACAGTGGCATTGTGACATATCTCTGCACTGCTCACCCAGGTGATGTAACACTTGTCTAGGATCTGCCTAAAGGGACTTTGTGACATATATCTGCACTGATCATCCAGGTGATGGGGCTGTCGTATAGGCTCTGCCTAAGGGGGCATTGTGACATATTTCTGCACTGATCACCCAGGTGACGGACTCTTGTCTTGGATCTGCCTATGGGGGCATTGGGACATATCTCTGCACTGATCACCCAGGTGATGTAACTGTTTTAAAAGCTCTGCCTACAGGGGAATTGTGAGAGATCTCGCCACTGATCACCCAAGTGATGTAACTATTTTCTACGCTTTGCCTACAGGGGGCTTTCTGACATACCTTTCACTGATCACCCAGGTGATGTAAGTCATCTAAGTTCTGCCTACAGGAGCTTTGTGACATATCTCTGTACTGAACACTTAGTATATGTAACACTTTTATAAGCACTGCCTACAGGGAATTTTGACAAATCTCTGCAATGATCACCTAGGTGATGTAACTCTTGTTTACCCTCTGCCCAAAGGGGGCACTGCGAAATATCTCTGCACAAAATCACCCAGGTGATTCAACTCTTCTCCAAGATATGCCTACAGGGGGTATTGTGAAATATCTCTGCAATGATCAACTAGGTGGTGTAACTCTTGTCAAGGCTCTGCCTACAGGGGCATTTTCACATATCCCTAAACTGATGACAAAGGTGATGTAGCTCTTGCCTAGGCTTTGCCTACAGGGGACATTGTGACATACATCTGCACTGATCACCCAGGTGATGCAACTCTTGCCTTCGCTGTGCCTACAGTGGACATTGTGACATATCTCTGCACTGATCTCCCAGGTGATGCAACTCTTCTCTATGCTCTGCCTACAGAGGACATTGGGATATATCTCTGCACTGATCACCCAGGTGATGCAACTCTACTCTATGCTCTGCCTACAGGGGCATTGTGACATATCTCTGCACTGATCACCCAGGTGTTGTAACTCTTTTCTAGTCTCTGCCTACAGAGGGCGTTGTGACATAACTCTGCACGGATAACCCAGGTTATGTAAGTCTTGTCTATGCTCTGCCTATGGGGGCATTGTGACTTATCTCTGCACTGATCACCCAGGAGATGTGACTCTTGTCTAAGCTCAGTCTAGAGGGACATTGGGACATATCTCTGTAATGATCACTGAGGTGATGTAAAACTGGTCTAGGCTTTGCCTACAGTGGGATTTATGACATATCTCTGCACTGATCACCGAGGTGATGCAACTCATTTCTGGGATCAGCTTACAGGGGGCATTGTGATATATCTCTGCCATGATCACCCAGGTGATGTAACTCTTGTCTAGGCTCTGCCTACTGGAGACATTGTGACATATCTCCGCACTGATCACCCAGGTTATGTCACTTTTGTCAATGATATGGCTACTGGGATATTGTGACATGTCAGGGCACTGATCACACAGTTGATGTAACTCTTGTCTAGGCTCTGGCTACAGGAGACTTGTGAAACATCTCTGCACTGACCACCCAGGTGATGTAACCCCTCTCTAGGCTCTGTCAAATGGGGGCTTTGTGACACAACTCTGCACTTATCACCCAGGTGTTGGGACCCTTGACTGGGCTCTGCCTACAGGGGCATTGTGACAGATCTCTGCAGTGATAACGCAGGTGATGTAACTCTTGTCTATATCTGCCTATTGGCGGCATTGTGGCATATTTCTGCACTGATCACCCAGGTGATGGACTCTTGTCTTAGATCTGCCTATGGGGGCATAGTGACATATCTCTGCATTGATCACTCATGTGATGTAACGCTTGTCTATGCTGCGCCTAAAGGGGAATTGTGACAGATATCTCCACTGATCACCCAGGTGATGTAACAATTTTCTAGGATTTGTCTACAGGGGGCTTTGTGACATATCTTGGCACTGATCATCCAGGAGATGTAACTCTTGTCTAGGCTCAGCCTACAGGGGCTTTGTGACATATTTCTGTACTGATCACCCAGGTGATATAACTCTTGTCTAGGCTCCACCTACAGGGCGTATTGTGACGAGTCTCTTCACTGATCACCCAGGTGATGTTACTCTTGTGTAGGCTCCACCTATAGGGGGTATTGTGACGTATCTCTGCACTGATCACCCAGGTGATGTAACATTTATCTAGACTCTGCCTACAGCGGTGTTTTGACATACCTCTCCACAGATCACCTAGGCTATGTAACTCTTGTCCACTCTCTGTCTACAGCGGGCATTGTGAAATATCTCTGCACTGTTCACCCATGTGATGGGACTCTTCTCTATACTCTGCCTAGAGGTCGATTTGTGACATATCTCTGCACTGATCTCCCAGGTGATGGAAGTCTTGTCTATGCTCTGTCTATGGGGGCATTGTGTCAAATATCTGCACTGACCACCCACGTGATGTAACTCTTTTCTAGTCTCTGCCTACAGGGATTTTTTGTGACATATCACTGCACTGATCACCAAGGTGATGTAGTCCTTGTATGGGCTTTGCCAACAGAAGGCTTTGTGACATATCCATGCACTGATATCTGAGGTGATGCAACTCTTGTCTAGGCACTGCCTCCAGGGGACATTGGTAAATATCTCTGCACTGATCACCCAGGTGATGGACTCTTGTCTTAGATCTGCCTACATGGACATAGTGACACATCTCTGAACTCATCCACTAAGTGATGAATGTATTGTCTAGGCTCTGCCTACAGGGGCTTTGTGACACATCTCTGCACTGATCACCCTGGGGAGGGATCTCTTGTCTACGCTCTGCCTACTGGAGGCTTTATGACTTATACCTGCACTGATAACGTAGCTGATTTAACACTTGTCTGGGCTCTGCCTACACGGGAATTCTCACATATCTCTGCACTGATCACCCAGGTGATGTAACTGCTGTCTAGGTTCAGCCTACAGGAGCGTTTTGACATATCTCTGCCCTGATCACCCAGGTGATGTAACCCTTTTCTAGGCTCTGCCTACAGGGGCATTGTGACAGATCTCTCCACTGCTCACCCAGGTGATGTAACAATTGTCTGGGCTTTGCCTACAGGGGGCTTTGTGATATACATTTCCACTGATCAAACAGATGATGTGACCCTTCTCAAGGTTCTGCTTACATGGGCTTTGTGACATATCTCCGCACAGATCACCCCAGGGTGGAAACACTTGTCTACACTCTGCCTACAGGAGGCTTTATGACTTATCCCTGCACTGATCACTAGGTGATGTAACACTTGTCTAGGCTCTGTCTACATGGGAATTTTCACATATCTCTACACTGATCACCTACGTGATGTAACCCTTATCTAGTTTCAGCCTACTGGGAATTTCTGACATACCTATGCACTGATCACCAAGGTGTTGTAAATCATTTCCAGGATTTTTGTACAGGGAACATTGTGATATATCTCTGCACTGATCACCCAAAGGATGCAAATCTTCTCTAGGATCGAAAGGGAGGTGGCCTTGTGACATATTTCTGAAATGATCATCCAGGATATGTAACTATTCACCAGGTTTTGACTAAAGAGCCTCGGAATGTGTTGGGAGAGCCTCAGCTGGAATTTCACAGACGGAGAAGGGCACAGAGAGACCAGCGGGCTCCCTTGCAAGTCAGCCGGTGTGCGCAATGAGCGCAGGCCTAGCCAGGAGGCCAGCAAAGAGAGATAGAAGTCTGCGTTCCGCTGCCATGCGCTCTATGGTGGCAGCTGGGAGGCTGCAGGGGCACGGGCGGGATGGCGACAGTGGACGGTAGGCGCAGAGGAGGCAAGGCGCTGGAGGGGTGTCAGGCCTGGACGCTGCACGGGCCCGGTGTTTCACGGGATGGGGGTCTCCACCCAGCCCAGGGAAGGACGCATTTTCCGGGGGAGGGTGGTGTGGTGGGGATGGCATGGTCAGGCGTGTGTGGGGTGGTGGAAAGGCATGAAAGCTCTGCCCAGGCTGCTCCCACAGCCCAGGCGGCTGCCTGCAAACCTGCACGTGCACAGTAGGCGGCCCACCTGCTGGTACCTGGGTCGGCTCTTGGATCCCCGGGTTGCCCAGGGACGAATGGCAGTTCTCTACTGGGTGCAGTCTCTCACTGTGCCTAGAACTAGAAGGCAGGAATCCCAGGCCGGTCAGCCCAGTGGAGGGGTCGGGGGGAAGACACACCCCTCCATAGCCAGCCAGGTGTTCCCCACGAAAAAGAGGCCACCGCCCTTCCCCATCCTGACCCCGTCTCAACCCCGTGTCCTAAAATTCCTCCAGCAGAGCCCAATATTCTTCCTCGCTGAGGGGTGCTCCCAGCGATGCAGCCTTTTCCAAGGCCTCCAGCTCCCCCGGGGCCTCAGTTTATAGGAAAGTTTGCACCTGCTGCAGAACCTCCAGGCTCGCCAGGAGCTCATCCAGCAGCAGGCCGGAGGGGAGTACAGATGAGCGCCCTGGCTCTTGAATCGCCTGGGAGGGCGCCAGGATGCATTGCATCTGCTCCTGCTGCGGGGAGGCCTCCGGGGGCAAGGGCTGGCGAGGTGGAGCTTCCCCTGCTTGGCGTTCCCACGCCACCCCAGCGACCTGGGAACCCCGGCCCCAGCCCCACCACGGACTCCCCTGGGATGCGGGTGGCGCAAGCACACCTTGGCCCTGTGGCCCCGCATGAGCGGGCCCTGGCTGTCCCACCGCACAAGGGCCCGGCAGGCCATCGTGCTGCAGGTCCCGGTCCTCCTGGATTTTGCCCGGTTGCGGAGGCGACCGAGGAGCCTGAGTGTGGGAGAGTGCCCCTTCCGGAGGAGCCGGGGCAGTGTAGGCAAAATCCCTAGTGCCGGGGCAGGTTGGGAGATAACCCCTGCAGGCACGGCCTGGCTGGGCTGGAGCACGGGGATGGCCCTCACTCCCTGGCTCACGAAATCCCCCAGTGGGAGAGCCCCAGGCGTGCAGGGCACGTGGGGCGCGGGAAGCCCCGTTTCCCACGCGATGGTGTGGGTGAAGGTGACACACGAGGGATCAGGGTGACACCCGATGGGGGCCGCGTTGCACAGGCCGACTGCCTGCATGGATGCCCTGATAGCCTGTCCCTGGTGCCTGGCCCTTCGATTCTGAAACCAAATCTGAATACTGGACTCTGGGAGGCCCGTCTCTCTGGCCAGCTCTTCCCTGGCAGCGATGCCTGGAAAGCGATCCTTCTCAAAGGCTGGGAGGACCAGGTCAGTCTGCGATCATTTGACGGTGGTCTGCTTTCTCCTGCCTTCTTACGGGTCACGTGTCCTGGGCCAGGGCCGAGATTCCCGCCGGTGCTGCCTCACCTGGTATGACCTCTCATTCTGAAACAAAATCTGGACCCTGGGATTGGGAATGTCGATGGCCTGGGCCACCCATTCTCTGCGGTGATGCCCCGGTACGGGTTCTGCTCAAACAGGCTCTCATTGCCTAGCTTTGGCTCGGGGTGCAAAAGACTATCCCTCGCTGTCCCCGTCTGTGGGCTTCTGCGGGGAGGCTGCTGTCAGAAGGCTTTGGGAAGGCCATCGCGGGGAGCCCCGGCCAGAATTGCATGGACGGTATGGGCAGAGAGAGGCCGGCGGGCTCCCGTACACCTCAGCCGACATGCACACTGCGGCATGTGCAGCCAGGAGGCCTGCCTGGATATCCACCAGCGACTCTTATAAAGGCCCACAGGCAGGCACGCTCCACCCCTTCATGAATGGCAATGAGACCTGGGACAGCCCGCCCCACCCTGGAAGGGACACAGGGCATCGAGGCCTGCGGCCGGGGGGTGGTGTGGTGGGGGGGAGTGCGTGGTGATGATGGTGGTGGGGCTGGACACACGAAGATGAAGGGGGCGAGGGGGAAGTGGTGAGGTGGGTGCGTTTCGGGGGCTGGCTCTCCGGACTTCTCCAGGAATCCCGCAGGAACTGGAAGCCGCTCTCTGGGCTCCCACGCATCTTCAGCAGGGATAAACCGGCCTGGGAGAGTGGAGGGGAGTGTGGAACTGAACCTCCATGGGAGTTTTGAGTGTTCCAGGCCATCTCTCCGTGAAGGAGGCAGTGCTTGTGGGTGTCGCCATTGCCGGCACAGTCTCACACATGCAGGCGTGTGACTCTCGTTCATTTCCAAGTGGGAGACCAGAGCGAGACCCCAGAGAGAAGACGTCCCCCCGGCGTGATGACCTGACGATGGATTCCCATGTGCGCTAACATGGGGAGTCTGCAGTGTGGCCGGTTTGGAAACTGACAAGGAGAGCGAAGGCACCATGCTGGTCTTCCACCCTTCCCTGCATGTTTCCGGGTGCCCACAGAGCTCCAGAAGCAAACAGTCAGCATGACACATCTCTGAACAGATCAACAAAATGATGTAACACTTGTCTAGGCTCTGCCTACAGGGGCTTTGTGACATATCTCTGCACTAATCACCCAGGTGATGGGACTTTTCTCTGGGCTCTGCCTATGGGGGCATTGTGACATATCTCTACACTGATCACCCAGGTGATGCAACTCTTGTGTTTGATTTGCCTATGGGGCATTGTGACATATTTCTGCACGGATCACCCAGGTGATGGGCCTCTTTTCTAGGCTCCGTGTATGGGGACATTGTGACATATCTCTGCAGTGATCACCCAGGTGATGTAACGCTTGACTACGCTCTACCTACGGGGCATAGTGACATATCACTGCACTGATCACAGAGGTGATGTAACTCTTGTCCAGGCTCTGCCTATAGGGGGCCTTGTGACATATCTCCGCACTGATCATCTAGGTGATGTAACACTTGCTTACGCTCTGCCTGCAGAGGCATTGTGAAATATCTCTGCACTGATCACCAGGGTGATGAGACTCTTCCCTAGGCCCTGCCTACTGGGGGCATGGTCACATATGTCTGTACTGATCACCCAGGTGGCGGACTCTCCTCTTGGATTTGCCTACGGGGTCATTGTAACATATCTCTGCACTGATCACCCAGGTGATGTAACTCTGGTCTAAGCTCTGCCTAAAGGGGCATTGTGACAGATCTCTGCACTGATCACTCAGGTGATGTAACTATTGTCTAGGCTCTGCTTAAAGGGGCCTTGTCACATATCTCTGCACTGATCACCCAGGTGATGTAACTCTTGTCTAGGCTCTGCTTACAGGGGGTATGGTGACATATCTCTGCACTGATCACCTGACTGATGTAACATTTTTGTAGGCTCGGCCTACAGGGGCACCTTGACGTATCTCTGCACTGTTAACCGAGGTGATGTAACTGTCGTCTAGGCTGTGCCCACAGGGGGATTGAGACATATCTCTGCACTGATCCCAAGGTGATCCAACTCTTGCCTGGTCTCTGCCTATTGGGGACATTGTGACATATCTCTGCACTGATCCCCCAGGTGCTATAACTTTAGTCTAGGCTCAGGCTACATGGCATTGTGACATATCACTGCACTGATCACCCAGGTGATATAACTCTAGTAAAGGCTCTCCCTACAGGGGCATTGCGATATATCTCTGCACTGATCACATAGGTCATGTAACTCTTGTCTAGGCTCTGCCTACAGTGGCATTGTGACATCTCTGCACTGATCAACCAGGTGATGTTACTCCTTTCTAGGATCTGCCTACAGGGTGCTTTGTGACACATCCCTGCAATGATTACCCAGGTGATGTACCACTTGTCAAGGCTCTGCCTACAGGGACATAGCAATGTATCTCTGCACTGATCACCTAGGTCATGTAACTCTTGTCTAGGCTCTGCCTACAGTGGCATTGTGACATATCTCTGCACTCATCATCCAAGGGATGTAATTCTTGTCTAGGATCTGCCTAAAGGGACATTGTGACATAACTCTGCACTGATCATCCAGGTGATGGGGCTTTTTTCTAGGTTCTGTTAAGGGGGCATTGTGACATATTTCTGCACTGATCACCCAGGTGACGGACTCTTGTCTTGGATCTGCCTATGGGAGCATTGTGACATATTTCTGCACTGATCACCCTGGTTACGGACTCTTGTCTTGTATCTGCCTATGGGGGCATTGTGATATATCTCTGCACTGATCACCCAGTTGATGTAACTGTTGTATAATTCTGACTAAAGGGAATTGTGGGGGATCTCGCCACTGATCACCCAAGTGATATAACTACTTTCTAGGCTGTGCCTACCGGGGGCTTTGTGACATACTTTGCACTGATCACCCAGGTGATGTAACTCATCTAAGTTCTGCCTACAGGAGCTTTGTGACATATCTCTACACTGATCACTTAGGTGATGTAACACTTTTATAAGCATTGCCTACAGGGAATTTTGATAAATCTCTGCACTGATCACCTAGGTGATGTAACTCTTGTGTACCCTCTGCCCAAAGGGGGCATTGTGAAATATCTCTGCACTGATCACCCTGGAGAATCAACTCTTGTCTAGGGTCTGCCTACAGAGGGTATTGTGAAATATCTCTGCACTGATCAACTAGGTGATGTAACTCTTGTCCAGGCTCTGCCTACAGGGGCGTTTTCACATATTCCTGAACTGATGAGAAAGGTGATGTAACTCTTGCCTAGGCTTTGTCTACAGGGGACATTGTGACATATCTCCGCAGTGATCACCCAGGTGATGCAACTCTTCTCTATGCTCTGCCTAAAGGGGACATTGTGACATATCCCTGCACTGATCACCCAGGTGCTGCAACTCTTCTCTATACTCTGCCTACAGGCGGCATTGTGACATATCTCTGCACTGATCATGTAGGTGATGTAACTCTTGCTTATACTCTGCCTGTAGGGCAGAGATATTGTGAAATATCTCTGCATTGATCACCCAGGTAATGGGACTGTTCTCTAGGCTTTGCCTACTGGGGGCATTGTCACATATTTCTGCACTGATCACCTTGGTGACGGACTCTTGTCTTGGATTTGCTTATGGGGGCATTGTGACATATCTCTGCACTGATCGCTCAGGTGATACAACACTTCTCTATGCTCTGCCTACAGGGACATTGTGACATATCTCTGCACTGATCACCCAGGTGATGCAACTCTTTTCTAGTCTCTGCCTAAAGAGGGCTTTGTGACATCACTCTGCATGGATTACCCTGGTTATTTAACTCTAGTCTAGGCTCTGCCTATGGGTGCATTGTGACTTATCTCTGCACTTATCACTCAGGAGATGTGACTCTTGTCTAAGCTCTGCCTAGAGGGACATTGGGACATATCTGTGCACTGATCGCTGAGGTGATGTACCTTTTGTCTTGGATCTGCTTACAGGGGGCATTGTGACATATCTCTTCCATGATCACCCAGGTGATGTAACCCTTGTCTAGGCTCTGCCTACTGGAGGCATTGTGACATATCTCCACACTGATCACCCAGATGATGTTAGTTTTCTCAAGGATATGGCTACAGGGACATTGGGACATGTCACTGCACTGATCACACAGCTGATGTAACTCTTGTCTAGGCTCTGGCTACAGGGAGCTTGTGACACATCTCTGCATTGATCACCCAGGAGATGTAACCCTTGTCTAGGTTCTGCCTAAAGGGGCTTTTTGACATATCTCTGCAGTGATAACGCAGGTGATGTAACTCTTGTCTATATCTGTCTACTGGAGGCATTATGGCATATTTCTGCACTGATCACCCAGGTGATGGACTCTTGTCTTGGATCTGCCTATGGGGCCATAGTGACATATCTCTGCACTGATCACTCATGTGATGTAACACTTGTCTAAGCTGTGCCTAAAGGAGAATTGTGACAGATGTCCCACTGATCACCCAGGTGATGTATGAATTTTCTGGGATTTGTCTACAGGTGGCTTTGTGACATATCTTTGCACTGATCAGCCAGGATATGTCACTCTTGTCTAGGCTCGGGCTACCACTGTTTTGTGACGTATTTCTGCACTGATCACCCAGTTGATGTAACTCTTGTTTAGGCTCTCCCTACTGGGGCTTTGTAACATATCTCTGCACTGATCACCCAGGTGATGTAACTCTTGTCAAGCTTCCACCTACAGGGGGGATTGTGACTTATCTCTACACAGATCACCTAGGTTATGTAACTCTTGTCCACTCTCTGCCTACAGGAGGCAGTGTGAAATATCACTGCACTGATCACCCAGGTGATGGGACTATTCTCTGTGCTCTGCCTAGAGGGGGATTTGTGACATATCTCTGCACTGATCCCCCAGGTGATGGAAGTCTTCTCTAGGCTGTCTATGTGGGCATTGTGTCAAATATCTGCACTGATCACCCAGGTGATGTAACTCTTGTCTAGGCTCTGTCTACAGGTATTTTTGTGACATATCACTGCACTGATCAACTAGGTGATGTAAGTCTTGTATGGGCTTTACCTACAGAAGGGTTTGTGACATATCTATGCACTGATCTCTGAGGTGATGCAACTCTTGTCTAGGCCCTGCTTACAGGGGACGTTGGTACATATCTCTGCACTGATCACCCAGGTGATGGAGCCTTGTCTTAGATCTGCCTACATGGACATTGTGACACATCTCTGAACTGATCAACCAAGTGATGAAACTCTTGTCTAGGCTCTGCCTAAAGGGTCTTTGTGACACATCTCTGCACTGATCACCCTGGGGAGGGATCTCTTGTCTATGCTCTGCCTACAGGAGGCTTTATGACTTATACCCACACTGATAACCTAGGTGATGTAACACTTCTCTGGGCTCTGCCTACACGGGAATTCTCACATATATCTGCACTGATCACCTGGGTGATGTAATTGTTGTCTAGGTTCAGCCTACAGGAGCATTTTGACATATCTCTGCACTGATCACCCAGGTGATGTAACCCTTGTCTAAGCTCTGGCTACTGGGGCATTGTGACAGATCTCTCCACTGCTCACCCAGGTGATGTAACAATTATCTGGGCTTTGCCTAGACGGGGTTTTGTGATATACATTTCCACTGATCAAGCAGGTGATGTAACACTTGTCAAGGTTTTGCTTACAGGGGCTTTGGGACATATCACTGCACTGATAACCTCAGGGAGGAAACACTTGTCTACACTCTGCCTACAGGAGGCTTTACGACTTATCCCTGCACTGATCTCTAGGTGATGTAACACTTGTCTAGGCTCTGTCTACACGGGAATTTTCACATATCTCTGCACTGATCACCTAAGTGATGTAACCCTTGTCTAGGTTCAGCCTACTGGGGATTTCTGACATAACTATGCACTGATCACCGAGGTGATGTAAATCATTTCCAGGCTTTTTGTACAGGGGACATTGTGATATGTCTCTGCACTGATCACCCAGATGATGGAAATCTTCTCTAGGCTCCACAGGGAAGGGTTATTGTAACATGTTTCTGAACTGATCATCCAGGAGTTGTAACTATTCTCCAGGCTTTAATGAAAGAGCGTCGGAAGGTGTTGGGAGAACCTCAGCCAGAATTTCATGGATGGAAAAGGGCACAGAGAGGCCAGCTGGCTCCCTTGCACATCAGCCAGGTGTGCAATTAGTGCAGGTCTAGCCAGGATGCAAGCTAAGAGAGCTAGAGGTCTGCGTTCCGCTGCCAGGCACTCCATGGTGGCAGCTGGGAGGCTTCAGGGGAATGCGCGGGCAGGCTACGGTGGTGCAGAGGCGCAGAGGATGCAATACACTGCAGGGATGTCAGGACAGGACGCTGCGCATGCCCAGTGTTTCACAGGACGGGGTCTCCACCCAGGCCAGGGGAGAACGCGTTTTCTCGGGGTGGGGAGTGGGGGTGGGGAGGGGGTGGTCAGGCGGGTGTGGGGTAGTGTTAAGGCAAGAGAGCTCTGCCCAGGCTGCTCCCACAGCCCAGGCGGCTGCCCACAAACCCGCACGTGCACAGTTGGCGGCCCAACTGCTGGTACCTGGGCTGGCCCTGGGATCCCAGGGATGCCCAGGAAAGAATGGCAGTTCTCCACTGTGTGGATTCTCTCAGCTCGCCTAGACCTAGAAGGCAGGAATCCCAGGCCGGTCAGCCCGGTGGAGGGGGCTGGGGGAAGACACGCCCCTCCACAGCCAGTCAGGTGTTCCCCGTGAAAGAGAGGCCACAGCCCTGCCCCGACATGACCCTGTCCCAACCCCGTGTCCTGAAGCTCCTCCAGCAGAGCCCGGTATTCTTCCTCTCTGAGGGGTGCTTCCAGCAAGGCGGACTCTTCCAAGGCCTCCAGCTCTCCCGGGGCCTCCGTTTCTAGGAAAGGTTGCATCTGCTGCAGAAACTCCAAGCTCTCCAGGATCTCATCCAGCATCAGGCCGGAGGGGAGTGCAGACAAGCGTCCCCGCTCCTGGAGGGCCTGTGAGAGCGCCGGGATGCCTTGCATCTGCCCCTGCCAGGCGAGGCCTCTGGGGGGGCGGACTGACATGGTGGAGCTGTCCCGTCCTGGGGTTCCCACGCCGCCCCGGCGACCTGCGGACACCGGCCACAGCCCCACGACGGACTCCCCTAGGACTTGGGTGGCACAAGCACACCTTGGCCCTGTGGCCCCGCTTGAGCAGGCCCAGGCGGTCCCACCGCGCAAGGGTCCAGCAAGCTGTCGCGCTGCGCGTCCCGGTCCTCCCAGCTTTTGCCCAGCTGCAGAGGCCACCGAGAAGACTGAGGGTGGGAGAGCTCCCATTCCGGAGGAGTCAGGGCAGAATTGGCAAAATCCCCGCCTGCCGGGGCAGGTTGGGGGATCCCCTCTGCTGGCGCGGCCTGGCTGGGCTGGAGCACAGGGACGGCCCTCGCTCCCTGGCTCACGAAAGCCCCCTGTGGGAGAGCCCCAGGAGCAAGGCACGTGGGGTGCGGGAAGACTCCTTGCCCTTGTGCCGGTGTGGGCAAAGGTGACCCACGAGGGAGCAGGGTGACACCCACAGGGGACCACGTTGCACAGGCCACCACCTGCGCAGGCGCCCTGCCCACCTCTCCCAGGTGCCTGGTCCTTCGACTCTGAAACCAGATATCACTCCTGGTCTCCAGGCTGGGTGGAGACCACTGTCCCGGGAAACACTGGGCCCACGCAGCGTCCAGGCCTGACACCCTTCCGGCGGCTCCCCACCTCTAAGCCTCTGCGCCACCGTCGCCGGCCCGCCCGTGCCACTGCAGCCTCCCAGCTGCCACCATGGAGCTCCTGGCGGCAGAACGCAGACCTCTAGCTCTCTTTGCTGGACTCGTGGCTAAACCTGCGCTCATTGCACACACTGGCTGTTGTGCAAGGGAGCTTGCTCGCCTCTCTGTGCCCTTGTCTGTCCGTGAAATTCTGGCTGAGGCTCTCCCAACACCTTCTGAAGCCCTTTCGTCAAATCCTGGAGAATAGTTATATCTCCCAGATGATAAGTTCAGAAATCTGTCACAATGCCCCCTCCCTGCGGAGCCTAGAGTAGATTTGCATCATTTGGGTGATCAGTGCAGGGATATATCACAGTGTCCCCTGTACAAAAAGCCTGGAAATGATTTACATCACCTCAGTGATCAGGGCATAGGTATGTGAGAAATCCCCAGTAAGCTGAAGCTAGACAAGGGTTACATCACTTAGGTGATCAGTGTAGAGATATATGAAAATTCCCGTGTAGACAGAGCCTAGACAAGTGTTACATCACCTAGTGATCAGAGCAGGGATAAGTCATAAAGCCTCCTGTAGGCAGAGTGTAGACAAGTGCTTCCTCCCTGGGGTGATCAATGCAGAGATATGTCGCAAATCCCCTGTAAGCAGAACCTTGAGAAGGGTTACATCACCTGTTTGATCAGTGGAAATGTATATCACAAAGCCCCCTGTAGGCAAAGCCCAGACAATTGTTACATCACCTGGGTGAGCAGTGGAGAGATCTGTCACAATGTCCCTGTAGGCAGAGCTTTGACAAGGGTTACATCACCTGGGTGATCAGTGCAGAAATATGTCAAAATGCTCCTGTAGGCTGAACCTAGACAGGAGTTACATCACCTGGGTGATCAGTGCAGAGACATGTGAGAATTC